>NW_019805493.1:0-172555 GCF_000001405.40 Homo sapiens
TCATATCTAGGCTGTATACAAAGATGTTGTTCAGAGCAGATTGACAGTGAATTCTTTCAACAAAAAAGATCACAGTAGCTTAATTGATGAGCAAAGTTAGTCACCTTACTAGAAGGAACATTTTTGTTGAACTAAAACTGGAAAAATTGTTGTATTTTTAAAACGAATATTTTTTTTTGAAAATCAAGATCATGGATGTTATATAGTTCTTTCCAAAACTTAATAGTTTAATTATATGAACCTTTTTTCAGATTTATTAGGGATTTGGGACAGAAAAACATTTTTAAAAGGAGCAGGATTGAATGATGCTTTTGTTTCCATCTTCCTCCTCCTGCATATATATTATATATATATATACACACATGTACATATACACACACACACAAATACATATACACATATCTATACATGTATGTGTATGTGTACATGTGTGTGTGCATGTGTGTGTTAAATTTTAATTTACTGTTTTATGTAGTTTTCCAAAATTTGTAAGTCAGAAAGCTGGCTGGTTATGATAATTCTTGGGTATTTGATGATCTTTAGGTCCTTCAGTTATTGAGTATAATAATATGCCTTCATCCCGAGGATGAGGTCTTACGTTAAATGGCTTTGCAGCATTATCAGCTAGGGATTTTATGAACCTTCTTCTGAAAAATAGATTTAGAGCTTTCACCTAATAATTCAAATATAAAAGCACACAATCTTCAAGGAAAGATTTTTAAAATGCAAATACCCCACAGCAGTGGATCATGCAAAAAATGGACTACTCTGCAATGTTTGAATCCTTCTGCAAAGCAAAGCAGATTTCAGCCTGTGGGCTTTGATTTTTACCCTTCAACCATAGAACCCAGTCTACAATTACTTGTTACATGTGATATCTAGTTTCCAGTCACTAGTTAGGGATGGAAGTGATCAAAAAGAGAAATAATGCACATGGAGAAAAGAAGAGAGTTCAGGACAAAGAATCACCAGCATTTTGATGTTTAATAAAGGAGGAGATAGAAAAGGAAATGGACAAAAGGGTGAATATGACAGTTTGTTAATAAGGTGAAAGTGAGCAGCTGTCAAATGCTGATGAAAGATCAAATTGTACCAGGATTGAAATACATATATTGAATGGTAAAATGCACAGAAGTGTTGACAACATCAGAGTGGTTAGGTGGTAGGTAGTAGGAACTAGGAACTGATTTGGAAGTGAAGCCTGAAAAATAGTTACGGAAGTAAAGGCACCCGGTTAGGCGAATTTAATTCACGAAATTTGACTAGACAAGTTGATAGAGAAAAGACTGGAAAAACGACAGAGGGTTTAAAGAGGGTATTTTGTTTTGCTAAATGTTATTGGGAAAGGCAAGACCACATTTAAATAAGGATAGAAAACATTTTCATATGAAGAGAAAGATTGAAGAACGAGCAAAGAAAGTCTATAAGACACTTCAGTCAACACATCTTTAAGAAAATTTATAAGGCTTTTTGCTTTGCAGTGGAACAAGATTCCTGAAAAGATGGGAAAAAAAACTTACCACACATTAGAAAAAGTTAGTGAGAAATGGAGGAAAACTCTTAAAAAGACAGAAGAAGATTGGTGTCGGAGTTAAGGAAGAAACCAACTGATGACTTTAATTTCTCTGAACTATGACATGGACACAGTGTATTAACACAGAAGGAGTGTGAAGGAGAGCTTGAAGGTTTGAGGAGAGAAGCAAACATCTTAGATGGTTGATGAAAAACTATGAAAGCACATGATTTCTAGAACAAGGCGGCCTGGCAGCTTTGAGGTTTCATATGTGAATTTGTTTGTGGTTGGTGGTCATGAATTGATTGTGAAAACAATCTGTCCAGTTGTGGTTCTTCTGACCAACATTGCATTCGGAAGTGTGAGACGGAGCTGTGGGAGCAGAACGCAAGTGTCAGAGGATTAAGGGGTCTGTAAGACAGTAGCAGTTCTGATGGACCAGGAAATGCACAGTGAATAGGAAGGACATAAAGCCAGGAGGAGGCTGCATGATTCATAACTGGAGACCAAAATAAATTTAAGACCTTCTATGAATTTCAACATTTTTTTGTGTAAAGGATGGGAAGCTGCAGTCAGAGAGGGATAGGAGACTTGTTGATTTCAGGAGTGGAGCTGAGTAATATGTGCACTGTACTTTATTCAAAGTTGTCACAAGAATATCGTTAAAGATGAATAGGAAGAATTATCAATAGTTGAGGCTTTAGAAAGTTCAAGTCCCCTAGGATACTGGAAGAAGATGATGAAAAAATATGAAGCCAGATACTACAGAAACGAAAATGAATAACCAAGAGATAGGTGCAAAAAGATAATGAAAAGAGGGGAAGATGATGTAGTTGGGTAGTATAAACCTTGAAGGAGGAGCAGCATTGTTTTTCTAAGTTTATTTTTAATATAGAAAACAATTTCCTGGAAGGCATGTGGGAGTGAACAAGGAACTGACCTCACCTTCTGATCATAAAATGTGTGGAAAAAAATGGATGCATTTGAAACTGGAAGGAAATATTGATACAACGCTAACCAAACTACTTAGTTCTGCAGGGAGGATGGTTGATTTAAGAAATTGGTGTTAAGTAGATAAATGCAAAGCCACACACATAAAATATATTTCCTCTTATATCTGTCTGTAATTGCTGTGACCATTATATTTACCACTTATCGAGTATGTATTATGTGTCAGACATATTGCACATATTAAATAATTTAACTCTCACAAGAGAACTTGGAGGTGGTTCTTTTTATATTTTCAGAGAAGGGATATAAACCTCAGAATTTAAGTAGTTCTCCAGAGTCACTCAACAAGTACATATTATTCTAAGGCCCAAACTTAGGTGTGTTGAACATAATTCAACCTGAAGCCAACTTAACCATTCTGAGAATCAGTTTCCTCATCTGTAAAATTGGGACAAATTAACACCATCATCAGGGGGTAATATAAAAAGACAAATTATTTAGAACTCTGAGAAGCACACATTAAATGGGGAATATATGTTAGCAGAAATATAAACTGTCTCAATCAATTTTTAAAATTTGTACCTGGTTGCGTAAGACACAGGCTAAGACTTTCATTTTGGAAGCAAAAAAATACAATACACACTTACTTCTGATAAGTAGAAAGATAGCCTTAAAACAATAGCTAAGTTGAGAGAAAGGGGAAATAACACCTGCCATCCAAATTTATTTTTAAAATGTATTGGAAAGAACTGTCAAATTAAGAGATCAGTAATTTCAAGATTCTTTCATAATGGAAGCTTTTACTCTGTTAAAATACTGATGAGGAAGCATCACATTTTATAAATACAGCTGGGCCATCTGTGCAACCTAGGAAAAAAATTGACCAGCATTAATGGCATCCTTGCATCTGCCACATTCATGAGTGTGAAGGTAGTAGGGCAAGAGCAAAAATGGGTGGACCTGGCTGACAATGATTAAGTAAAATGCTGGAGTAATAGAGTATGATTGAGTATAACCACAATGAATCACTATGCCTGAATAGACTTTCATATCACTGAAGAGGACAACGTACACTTTGACATGGATGAGAGCCGACTGCCTTTGAGGAGAAAGGCGGGGGCGCACCTTACGTGACTCGTAAAGTGACTGTGTGCCAAGTGAAAGATGAGTTGAGGCTAGCGGGAGGATGCAATAACTAGGTTGCACTTGATGAAAATAAATAATGCTGAATGGGAGCAATTATTAGCAATTACGTTTCTGTTAACACAAATTCCATTGTTTGAAATTTAATTAAGGTTTTTCTGGAGGCAATAGAATTGTATTTGAACCATGGAGCCCTCCTCCATGTTTCTGATGCAGCTTTTATGAGCCCAGATAGCAGTGAGCTGAGATCATGTTAGGAGAGGTGTATATGTCCCAGTTAATCTTATATGACACCTGTTATTTTATTACTGTTTCATCAGCTTTGCTGTAGGCCTGTGATACAGAAGCTTTCTTCACATGTCAAATACGTCCTGCCTTTGTTACACTTGACAAGCTGGATGTCATAAAGTCACAGCTCTCAGTATTCTAGGAATGGTAAAGCAAAAAAAAAAAAAAAAATTCCTGCAATATCCAGATGATTGTCTAAAACTTAGTGACTGAGAATTGGGATGTAAATGGGGAGGGTACTACCCCAAAGTGGAGCAACCTCTTCTAGCCTGTCCCCCACTCATCCTCTTTAGCTGACCAATGAAAAGACAGTGAATGGGAGAGCAGAAGAAATAAGGGTAGGATATTCTGTCAATGCAGAGCTGGCTGCGGCTGCTCCAGTGGTAGTTTTTTACCTGCTGAGGTACTTTACGAATCTAAAGTTGTTCAGAACCAAGGCAATATTCTGGGTCTCCAACTAACAGGCATTTCAACTTTCTAATACACATTCTTTTTTTATTTCATAGAAAAAGAAAAATATCAATTCTCAGTTGTCTTATTGCCTTTTTTTCCTGTCAGGTTTCTGGAAAACTAAAATGGGAAAAAGCTGCACAGATGCCTGCTTTTTTTTATGATAAATGAACAAAGCAAAGATGGCAAGAAAGTTCTACCTTGTAGTGAGTATTTGACCAAGAAAGATTTTGGTTATGTACTTCTTGAGTAGTCTAGGCATCAAAAGTCACGTATTAAAGTGTTGACAAAGAAAATACCATGCAGCCTCAGCTGCAATTACACTAACAGAGACAACATTTAGACCAAAAGGTGTAAAGTACGGAGCCTGACAGCTGTGTACTTATGGGAAAGGAGTAAACAGAACTGTCCTGGAAAATTATTGGTCATTTTAGTCATGCTGCATACCAAAGTCTAAAATAACAAAAGTAATTAAATTTATTTATTTATTTTTGCCCTTGGCCTTTGGAAAGCAGCCAATGAGCACCTTTCTGAAGTTAATCTTTTGACCGTGTCTTTTAAAAGACTTAACTCTAAAATTATGGCCTGCACTGGAAATACTAGGCCCTGTTTCCTAGATGATGAGATGACAGATCTATGTGAAAATCTTTGGAAATGTGAGAACAGAAGACACTTTTCTTTCCACTTTTGAAAGAAATTAACTCGTTTGTTATTGTTGAACATGTCTCCGAAAGCTACATATGGCTTACAAGTTTAGAGGCAAGAGTCCTCAAAAAAATAGACATCAAACAAAAACCGCTGTAAAGAGAGCCACAGTGGTTTTGCATCAGCTATAAGACTTATTCAAATGCATAATGATACCTTTTAGGGGCATTTCTTACAAATGACCTCATAAGTAAAGCCCCATGTAAAAATATTACAGAAAATGTCATGAAGGGAAGTGACAGATTTTATGAATTGCCTGTGGGAAAAATGAAGTATCGTTTTGTTATGAAGTAATTGAGGGTGCTCAGAAAAACATAAAATCATTTGTATTGAGAAAGATCCAGAGATGTTTTAAAGGTATCTTTTTAAAATGAACATAAATCATAACAATAGGACAATCTGTCAATGGAATCTAAAATTATAATTTTAGGTAAAGGAAATTAAGCATCAGAAGGCAGAGCAGGTGCTAGTGTGTGTGTGTGTGTGTGTGTCAAAAATTACATTAAAACTTCCAATACATGAGGAAATAGTCATCCAAATCCAAATGGCATTACTTTGTTAGTATTAGTTTCCTCTGTCACTGCCTTTTTTGTAAAACTCGAAACCTATTTCCTATTGGATATAATCAGTTACTAATAAGAATTAGGAATTGTTATTGTTATTCAAGGTGAGAAACCATTAGAAAGTTATTTTATTTTCTTATGAAATAAAATGAGCCCCTCATCAGTTTCCTGAATTCCTATATTCATGGAAGTGTTAGAGATTTTAAGTGCCTATCCATTTACTTTCTTCTGCAGAGTGCTAGTCGTTATCAATATGTAACTTTAACAAAAGGCTTACTGTATACCAAATACGCTAAACAAAAAAAAAAAAAACTTCACATGCATTTTTTTCATTTTAGTCTCTCAACAGCCCCAAGACTATACACTATTTTGTACTTATTTTGCAGATATAGAATCCGATGCTTAGAAATGGTGAGTTATTTGCCTGAAGCTTTGTAACAACTCAGGTATGCGATTCCAGAGCTCATGTTTTTGATCACTATAATTTTCTTCCAAATATAATGGACCCTAAGTTTTTTTGTTTTTCATTTATTTGTATTAAGCAGAGCTTTCCCTTCACTACTGTTGGGTCATGGTTAGGAACCATATCTACCTCTTGGTTCCATAAGAAGGGTTCACATTTGACCTGGCTCTTTTCTCTTGATTTTTCCAGTAGTAGCTACTGAGTGCTCCAGTAGACACTTTCTTCTAAGAGGCCATCTGCCTGTATATTCGAAGAGAGGAAACAGGGAACCCTCTCTGCCCACTGTCACCAAACACAAAGTGGGGAGAAATACATATTCTTTTCTAAAAATTTGGCAAGGCTCTCCCCTTAGGACTAACTAGCCTATTATTTTTACTCTTGCCTTGTGCCTTTTTTTTCTCCAAGGGCGCTCGGAGTCACTGCAAGTGTTTCGACCCTGTCATCCTCATGGATTTCGCTTTTTCCTGGGAGCAGATGTTCTGGAACATCTTGGTTGTGTCCCTGTACTGTGATTCTGCCCTGGCTATGGCACACTAACCATTGCTACAAATGCTAGGTCTTCCATGACCGAGTTTTTCTTGGCAGCCACAGCAACACCCATATCACATATGCTGACACAACTGTCAGTTTCTAAAGTTTAGTCAGTGATCATCAGGGATGATCTGTCATATTTTCTTTCAACACAAAACTTCTAGGGAAGCTTATTTGGACAGTAGAGGCTGACAATATTTTATGTCTTACAGAAACGTTAGATGTCTCTTGTGAGAAACAAGTTTGGCACAAGTCAATCTGCAAAAACTTTATTATTTGGCCACCATTCTTATTACTAACTTCTCACGCCTCAGTATAACTTCATACTAGTACCTTTTCCCTGAAGGAATGAGAAAGAGTTCAGAAGTGTATTATATTCTATTTAAATTTAAATATAAGTCAATCATATGAAATTAAAATATATCCGTATTCATAACCAGAATTGCCACTTACATTCAGGCTTGAAAGCTTCTATAAAGCTCCAATATTTTTCTTTGCACAAGTTTCAATTCTAATGCCTCAATTTTAATTAAAATAGAAAATGTTAAATGCTTAAGCCGTAGATATGACAAAAGTATGAAAAGACTCTACCTATATATCTTTCTATATACATATACAAATATAAACCACAGCCATATGTATGTATGGTTCTTTTGTGCATATGCCTATATATAAATGTGTATGTATATCAGAATTATATAAACATGCATATATAAAAATATATACATTTTGAAAACACATATTATATACATTGAGTAGCATACAAAGTCATATGTTCCTCTTTGTCTCCCTTCCCTCATTTCAGAGATGAAAGCTCAATATTTGTAGAGTCTTTAAGCAAATTATCAACTCAGTTTTCACTTTTGTTGACTCTGTTTTGGGGGTTTTAACATATTGTTAGCCAATGCAAAATATATGGGAATTGGAATAACTTCATAATTAAATAAATTGCAATGCTTGTAATCTATACAATAAGTCGTGTTTTCCAGTCTGTGGTGCCCTTTCCATTCTCTGCATGATATTCCTGTCTAAAAGGCACTAATAGAGACATTCTGATCTTGAAAAGAAAAGTAAGGAAAATCAACATCTAAAACTCAGAAAAGTCCTGGGTAGTAAAAGGTCTTTGTTCTGCAGAGTGTTCTCCCACAGAGGAACAGAATTTTCTTTTAGCTTTTGCATTTGACTCCCAGGCTCTGAAATATAATAATCAAAGCTCTTTGTTACCTTATGTTGAATCTCCTGTACATGAAATCTTATTAGGCAAAAAAAAAAAAAAAAAAAATTCTTGCCCCTAAATAATTTTATGAAAGCTTGAACATTTGCCAGTTAAAAATATCTTTTTGTATTATGATGTTATAAGCAACTGCTGATAGGCCACTGGGATAATTAGAGAAGACTAAAGGATATCTAATGAGTTTTGCAGGGTGCATTTCAGAATGTATTATATATTATCATGTGCTTCTGACAATTTTATCTTTCTCTCCCTAGATGGCAAGATATCCCGGTGTTGTAATGCTTAAATTAGAGATCCAAGGCAATTATGAAACCAAGAAAAAAATTTTTTTTTTTCAAACTTTTTGTTAGGAGGGGTGAAGGCTTCTTCCTCTGTCAGGCTTCTCTGGGGCCTTAGATTCTTCCTCAGGGAAAGATCAGTATAAACCAATCAATAGCTCATCTTAAGGGAAGATGAATTTTACCTTCTCAGGGAATGAAAATGACCTTATAGTTAAATGAAAAGAAACATAAGCAATGCTCTTGGAAGTCTTTCTGTATTTATTATGTTCCTTGATTATCTGCCCCAGCTTCTGTGAGGATGGAGGCAGGCATTTCAAGCTAGATCACTCAGCCTAGATCCTTCTCCTGTAGATCCTTGAACAACTCAAACAAAACTAAAAACGTGATACTCTCCAGCAAAAGCTTTGACGAAAAATCTGCTGAGTGAACTCTGCGGGGAGATGCTGAGCTAGGAGCAAAGCAATAGGAAAGTTGTGGAAGACATTTGTGGTTGTCCCACACTATCATCGGTAGGAACAAGCAAAGGAAAAGGAGGGCTTCTTGTTACTTTCTTGGAGTAAAAAGATAGTACTGTTTTTGCTTTTCTTTCTCTTTTAGTCCCCACTATCATTCAAGAAGTAGTCAAGCAGTTTGTCATGGAGCATGAACTCTGGAGGAGTTCGAACATTTGTGTGAAATTTCAATCTAGGGGTGATAAGAACAGAATGAGAAAGGTTAGCTGGCGGTAGGGAAAAAGTGGATACACACTATTGTGATCAATTCCTTGTAGCTCATGTAAAAGACACCTGTTTCTGGAATAGCAGTCCAGGTAAAATTGTAGCATCAATATCCATAAGCTTTAGTAGCTTCAAGTGCAGAAATGAAACATCACTCTCAAGCAGGTAGCATCTCTAGGAGCTGCATGCCTTAGGGCACAGATGAGCAAACTATGACCCAGAGGCGAAATTTGGGAAGCTGTCTGTTGTGTTCAGTAGAGTTTTATTGGAACACAGCCCCACTCATTCTTTCTGTACTGTCTCTGGCATCATGTAGAACATTGCCTACTTTCATAGTTGGCTATGAGGCTTTTGTACTGCAAGGACAAAGTTGAGTAGTTGTGTCAGAAACCTTATGACCCATAAAGCCTAAAATATTTAATTATGCTGTTTACAGAAAAGGTTGTCAGATGACTGCCTTGAAAGTCATGGTAGTCTCATGCTCTCTGTTGTATCAAGTAAACCAGAAGCAACCCCACGGCAGACAAGGCTGTAATGGGAACAGTCAGGTGGTAGGGAATCAATCCAAGATGGATTCACTTTGGAAATACCTTTTACAATTGTCAGCCACTATCTTCCTTATTCTTCAAGAAAAGCCATTTCATTTATTTCCAGTAAGGAACAGTCCATATTCTTTGCTTTCTAAATTTAATTTTTGCTGAGCCTGCTTGTGATAGTAACCCACAGCAGTGCATTCATTGGTGTAAGGACCTGGTTTGACATGGTTCCAGAACATGTAAGAGGGCAGAATAATTGCTGAACCTATGCTCTTAGCTCAATGGCAGCTCAGGGATTCTGTTTCAGGGAAGATTGATCGGAAGGTTTTGTTTTAAAACTGCATTTGCATAGCAAGAACAATGCATGCCTTTTTATTAAATGATGCACGTCAACATGTTTAGCACATTTTTATTTCTAAAATTAATCTTATTTACATTCTCTGTATAATTTTCCCTGGCAAAGTGACATTGGTAATGACGGAGATTATGAGGGAGTTAAATATAGTCTAAGACACCTCTTTGGAAATACCCTTGTGCTAATTATACTCGAACCTGCTTGAACAATTTCCTTCTACTGCTCTGCACAGAATTGCACTGGCTTCAAACTCAAGATATTTAGAGTATAAAAAAGGTACCTGACAACAATTTATATCTGTAGGCTCATTCACAGTTGTCAAAGTACTTTCATATAAGCCACACTGCTGGCCTGCATGCTGCAGTGGATGTAAGATAGCAAAATTAATGTTAATTCTGCTTAATGTGCATGGAATCAGAGACTCGGAGAAGTTGCATGAATTTCCTAAGAAAAAGGACAGAGTGAAAATTGTAAGCCAAGTCTTTTTTTTAATGTGTTCTGTTTAAGGTTAAAGGCAATGAACAATACAGACCAAACAACAAACACCAACATGTATAGCTCTGCTCACCACAGCTGCACGTGACTTCTGGAGTGGATGGAGAAAATGTAGGTTACACATCAATAGCATCTGCTATAGCATATTATACTTCAATTAAACAATTTTTTATTTGTTCCCAAACACGGAAAAAACCAACAAAGCATTATACTATCCAAAATAAATAAGTTAATACATCATCTCATTTCCCTGTGACTGAATGCTTTGCCGCATGACCTGCCAAGTTTCCCAGTCCGCTGAGGACTCTAGGTGGATTTTTCTCTGTTGTCTCTAGTCTTCCATGAACCACAGTGCTGATGCAAAGCCCAGAAGTTATCATCCTGCTGGCCATGTGTTCATCAGAATTCTTACCCTTCACTGGATCTGTTAGTGATGGGCAATAACTAACCTCAAAGTAGAGAGAGATAAACCCAGAGCTTTTTAGTAGGCCTAGCTTTTAAATGTGAATAGTTAGGAAGCTCTCTTTCTCCCTCTCCTTCTATCTTCTTACATATCTAGACTCATCTATATATATGAATATAGTTAGGAAATTGTAAAATAATACTATTTAAATTGGATATGCCTCTTTTTCCTCAATGTGGAAAAATAGAACAAGTTAATTTCTATTTTATTCTCAAATTTTAAAGCAGGATTTATGCAATATTTTAGCCAGAAAACAATAAAATTTATGAGGGAAAGGTATTGTTACAGGGGGAAAAAAGTATTTTACAAGTTAAAAATTGTCTAATGCCACAATTACCCTCCACAACCCCCTTCCCGTGCATTCCTCCACGTACCTACAAATCTCACACCACTCCTATGTGTGCAAATGGTGTGGTAGAGTTCACAGTGATAGGGGAGAGAAATTGAAGATCAAGCCTTACTTAATTCTTAGCTCATTTGGACATGATAACACGGGGAGTGGAAAGAACTGATGGTCAAGAGACCCGATCATACTTCACCATTAGGTAAATAAGCTACATAGACATGGGCAATGTCGCTTACCAACTACAGGGCTTTGTTTTCCTCTTTTGTGAAATGAGAGGCCTTTATAATAGTTCTAAGTTCTCTTCCAATTCTCTGCAGTTGAATTCAAGTAAGATAGTCTCGTGGATAGTGTCTTATTCTTCTATTTCCTTTCTCCTTCACCATCTTTTCACTCTTTAGAAGGGCTAGTTAACTATCTGGGATTCTAGGTGGTTTGTGAGTAGCAGAATACCTGGAAAAGAAGTGCTTAATGTATTCATCAAAAATGTAGGCTCCTTCCTTTCTTCTTTTTCTTTGCATTGTCTGCGTCCATAGTGGAATATAATTACTGCACTTCCAGACATCAAATATGCATTTCAGGCAGTAAGAAAGAGACAGGAGAAAAATGAGAGCAGATGCTTGCTCAGGAGACAGGGACTTAAGCTTCCATCTTATTGACCAGAATTAGATCGCATGAACCCTTTCACCCCTGTAAGCTGCATGAGCACAAGGAAGTCGAATAATCCATTTTCGACTCCTCTGGTTTAAGGAAGCAAGGGGGAAAGGGATTGAAAGGGGTAATGAGAATGAGCTAACCCACAGGAAACCTGCCCTGGCTGGTATTTTGGAAAGGGTGACATCTTAACAGGACAAAGACATTATTTTGAGAATCAGTGAGAAAAATTCTTGTCTTTTCATCTTATCTCATCTTTCTTAATCAAAGAAAGTTCCCTTAAAAAATGCATTGTAGAAGAACACCAATTGTAGGTAATACATCTAAAGGATGAATTCAAGATAAAGGGTAATTTTCTGTTGCTAGTAGAAGTCTCATAAGTGGCTAGGCTAGATAATAATCTTTCAAAGGTGTTTTTACTAAGACAGTACTATCTTGGCAGATGAATGAATCCATCCACTTTCAAATGTTCTAATTATTGGGCACATAAAAATACAATAGCAATGTTATTCCAACTCTTCCCTGATTATCAAACTTATTCAGATCTATTTAGAGATACAATATAACACATTATTTTCATTACCATTAATCAACTTTTATCTGTGAATGGTGTGGCATGCTAAAGTGGATAGTTTACATCAGTTACAATAGTCAGCTCAAAAGAGGCTGGTAGTTTGAATTAAGAATGATTTACAAATTTATAAAAATAATTACATTTGCAATATTATGTTTAAAAATTATGCATTGTTTTTCGGTGAAACAAAATTCTGTATTACCATTCTTACTGGTTAAAATATTGGCCGAACCTGGCTATTGCTGTGAAAAAGAAAATGTATGAATTTCTATTTCTCAGAGAGCTACTCTTTGTGTATTTTCTCTTTCAGACATTGGATCCTGTGTCATGAAGGAATAAATTCTGTCTGAGATTTATAAATTACTTGAATGTAGACTGCTTTATTTCTCTCCTTACATTGTATATTGGGTCAATCTCTCAATTCTGAGTAGAAAAAAAAAAACTTATTCTGACAAATCTGAGTATCTCTTCAATGGGAAAGGAATACTGCTCATTCTGAGAAGAAAGAAACAAATGTCATTAAAAGCAACACAGTGAAGTTGTTGGCCTTTTAAAAAATATAAATTTTTATATAAAAGCAATACATCTTAAAGTATCCTTGCTTTGGTTAAAAAATAAAAACCGAAAACAGTGGAAGTGCTGCAAGCTGTGGTGGTTGCTAAAATGTGGCAACAAGTACAATGTCATAATTTCTAAATAGCTGAAATCAATCAAGGAAGTGAAATGTGAAGTTTGACATTTTTAATAAATTATACTATTTACCTTAATGCAAGTGACATAATTGAGGTAAATTAGAGGAAAGGAGCAACTGAACTGTAGCTAATTCATGTTTTAGACAGTGTTCAGTTTCCTTTAAAATGTATTCAAAATTTTTTAGCCTTCTGGATGGATAGAAGTTGGAGTCTTTATAAAATAGAGCTTATCTAGCTACTGAATTATAAAATTATTTCAAAATCTATATACTCATGACAATAACAAAGCATATGTACTTTAGATGAAAAATATTAACACATCAAAATTGTAATTGTGGACAAAAATGTCTTGAAAAAATTGCTATATGCTGAAATTCTCAGAATAGAAAGTGTATAATATACTCTCCCTGATGTTAATATTTTTCTGAAATAACAATTTTATTCATCAGGCAGGTAAACATCCATCTCCTTTTTTACATCTAAACAATATAGTTCAGGATTTCCTAAGGTTCTGAAGTTAATAAATGATGGAACCAGGACTGGAACCCCAGGTCTTACGTCACTTGTCTTGCTTTGAGTTCTTCGTATCAAGCCAATGGGCATCACATTGATCGCCATGTTAGCAGCAATGATAATAAAGATATTTCCATTTCATTAAATGTTCAAATTTGTACCAGGTACAGAGTAAAAAGTATCAAGCTACATTGTATCCTTTTTCTGTGGTGAAATTGAATTCTTCTAAAGAATCCAGCAAAATTTCTGCCTACTAAATGGCTTAATCTTCATTGAAGTGGTTTCTTTCTATAAATCATGAGCTGTTATCAGTCTATTGTAAAATATATTGCTACAATTATAGGTGACTTAAACTAACTTCTACTGAGCAGATGAATTATAATATAGGACAAAACCAAATTCAACGGCTATGAATGCCCTCGTAATCCCCTGTTCCCTTAGAGGACTAGGTAGACAGGATACTGGTAAGATTTGTAGGTGGATTCTCCTATAGGAAATTAGTGAGGTATGTTTACACTATGTGTCATGAAGCTACCTGGCCCTTCCCCATGCTGGAGTGCCAAATGTGCGAGCTCTGGGGTCTTATAGACACTGTTAGATTGGAGGCAAAATGAAGCAGGAAAGCAGGAGGGTTTTTTTGGTGAGGCTGGACTATGAGAAATTTGAAGTCTTTTGGAAAGAGTAGTACACCTGAAGTTTATTATAATAGGATAGCAAATGGCAAAAGGGAAATACAAATAATTTTATTTAATTAGAAAATGACTATTATCTTTATATAACCTAATTATGTTTAAGTTATTTTCTGGTAGATGGGTGCATTTCTTTGTTTTAATAAGCAGTGCATGCATTAATACGTAAAATAATTTAAAAAGCAAATTAGATCAGGTAAGTGACCCAAAAGTTACCAATTGGATTACTTACATAGAGCAGGCTAAATCCCATGATTTTATTCTTAAGTTATTTTTCAAAAGGTATATGAATTTTTTAAATAAGCAATTTGATATCAGAACATGTTGCAGGTGACATCACATTTGAGTAAATAAATTCTATTAGATCTCATTTTGAACTGTGATTTCAGGATCATTTTTTCTAATCAATTAAATTTAAATTACTAGCATTTTAAGGGGCAGGGATATTTTTTCCTCTTATTTCGTGACCACCATTTTATTTCAGTATCTTCTTGATGTGCATTTTATTTCAATTAATCAGAATGACTATATGAAGTTCCTACTCTTGTATAACCCCTCCAACCACAGCACATACGTATAAAACTTAATCTATTTCTCTACCTCATTTATCTACCAGGCATTTAACATAGACATGTGAATAACATATAGGTCATATAGGTAACTTGATCAATAGTGATATCAAAACTGAGATTCGAGATTGAAGTGAAGTTTCTTTGGTTTTGCACATAAATCTTAAAATCATTGTATAAATTAAAGTAGATTTTCATTGTGTTCTATATGGCTAAACTGTCATCAAATTTACCTGTACAAATTGATTTCAGGGGGAAAATGGGGCAATTTTCTTCGTAAACTGAAAAATGTGAAAACTTGATGGGACTACAAGTTTTTCCATCTCATTATAAGTATTTTTAAGATTATCTTCAGACATCCACTTCTTGCAGCATAGTAGACTACATATCTTAACAAATGTCATAATAAAAATAACTGAAATATAAGCAATGATTAAAAAATTAGAGCCCCTAAATTACTTACAAATGGATCTTTAATGTCAATGCAATTGCAACAAGAAACTCAGAGTTTGATTGTACAACTTAACGAACTTATTCTGTAAATTATTTAGAAGAGAAGGAGGCAAGTATAGTTAAAGTGGTGGAAATTTCTGTATCAAAATTATAGCAATTTGCTATAATTTTTATACAAATTGCTTTAGCAATTTGTTTATGAAATAATTAAAATTGTGTAATAAGGGCATAGAAATAGATACCTAGATCTGTGAAACAAAATTCAGACATATATCCACATGTATGTAGAAATAAACATATGGCAGAACTGACATTGTAGATAAGCAAATGAATTTCTTTTTTTATAAGTTTGGCTTGTACAAAGTGTTAGGAAGAAAATATAGAAATTTATATCCCTACCCCATTTCACAACCAATATTCTGTTTCAATGGATTAAAACTTAAATGTGAAACCAATTTATTAAGGAAAGATTGAATGTGAATTTCTTCTTGAACCTAGGCAGAGAATATTTTAGCTAAATAGAAAGTCTGAACTGAAAAACTGAATATAAAAATATTGAATTGATTAAAGTTAAGAGCTGTTCAGCAAAAGGCATGATAAATCAAAAGCCATATTTGAAATATGCATATTTGATGAATAAATGTCCAAAATATAATTTCTACAAATTTGAAAAGATTACTTTTAATAACTTCATTATAGGTTTATTCTTTCAATTTTTTATTAAGTACACATGAAAATGAACAATAAACAGCTGCAATGACGTCCATCCTTATTAGTAATAAGGGAAAAGCAGTTAAGTACAACTTAGATATAACTTTATATCTATCAGATTGGCTACTTACAAAAAGTCATTCAGCAGGAAGTTTGGCTGAGGATTTAGGGAATCTGAAAGGCTCATCCATTGCTGGTAGAAATCTAATCATGCATAAACACTTTAAAAAAATACTTTCATGAAATTATATTTTACAACATATATAACGTAGATTATTATCTAAATTAAAATTGAGCAATTCCATTCATACAGTTTACAAATTTAAGTATATACTTCTGTAATTGCTATGAAAATCAAAATATAGAATATGTCTATTACTCAAGAATATTCCCTCATGCTCCTTTGCAGTACATCTCTTCTCCCAATATATGCCACAACTGGCAACCAATCATCTGCTTGAAGGTACTCCTTACTTTACTAGGATTTCATGTAATTGTAATCATACAGAATATTGACTTTTGTTCCTCATGTCTTTCACATAGCATAATTCTTTCAAGATTAATTCATGTTGTTGTATATAACATTCCCTTTTATTGCTGAGTGGTATTCTAGTGTATAGATGAAGGAAAATGTGTTTATTAACTAGTTGATAGGTAATTTTAGGCAATTGGGAATAAAACTTACGTGAACATGCTAACGTTTAATTTCAGCTGTTACACTTTAGTCTGAACCATTATGAGTTAGTTTTATATGATGTGAGGGTAAGCATTGAGGTATATCTTTTCACATGTAGATATCTGATTGCATCAACTCAGTCTTCTGAAAATTGAATCCATTTCCTATTGAAATTCCGTGACACATTTGTCATTAATTGATCATGTATATGGGTATTTTTCTGGAGTGTCTATTTTTTGTTGATCTACATGCCTAGTCTTACACCAGCAACACACTGTCTTGATCACTGTAGCATTTACAGTAATTTTTGAAATGGGAAATTTATGTATTTTAACTTTTTTCACATTTCAAAATTGTTTTGTTTGTTCTAGGTCTTTATATTTCCATATCAATTCAGAATTTAGCCTGTTAATTTGTGTCAAAAAGTCTGCTGGGATATTTTTAGGAATTTTGTTTAATACGTAGATTAATTTGGAGAACTGTCATCTTAACAATGTTGAGTCTTCTGCTTCATGAACATGGTATAGCTTTCCATTTACTTAAGGCTTATTTGTTTATTTTCTGCAATGTTATACAGTTCTCCTTGTGAATATATTAGACATCTCTTGTTAAGTTTATCCCAATACATTTTATGTGTTTGGATCTATTGTTAAAGGTGTGACCTTTTTATTTAAATTTCAAATTGTTGATTGCTAGTTTGGAGAAATAGAGTTGAATTGTGCATATTGTTCTCATAACATGTGATCTTGCTATATTTACTTAATAGTTCTCAGTTTTCTTTCTTTGCCAATTTCTTGTGATTTTATGAATCAGTGAATACAGTTTTGCTGCTTCCATTCATATACGTATGTGTGTATATATGTGTATATATATACACCCATGTTTTTTTCTCCCCTTCGTATTAACGCAGTGAATAATTGAATAACAGTGATGCAAGCATACTATTTTGTTCTTGATCTTTGGTAGAAAACATTCAGTTTGACAATTAAGTATGATGTCATCTGCATGTTGTGGAAGTTCCTTTGTATGCCTAGTTTTCTGAAAGTTTTTTTTTCCTTAATTAAGAATACATAATTTTATTTAAAACAATTCTGTCAATTTGTATTATAATATGAATTTTCTTTTTAGTGTATTAATGGTAAAAATTATGTTCATTGATTTTTAAATATAAAACCAATTTGTGTTATCTGGAATAAAACCCTCTTGGGCATGCTGTGCTATCCTTTTTATGGATATCTGAATTCAATTTGCTAATATTTCTATTTTATAAATCAATTTTCACCTGTTATTTTCTTCTCAGAAAAATGTTTCACAATATCTCCCATAGTGCAGATATATTGGCAAAAAATTATCTCTATTACATTGGTGCAAAAGTAATTGCAGTTCTTGCCATTGAAGGTAATGGTAAATTACTTTTGCAACAACCTCAATTTTCCTATGTTTAAAATTCACTTTTGTTTCTAAAAGATATTTTCATAGGTAATAGCATTCTATGTTTATGAGGTTTTCTATCAACACTTTAAAGATTTTTTTGTCTTCTGGCTCATGATTTCTAAAAAGTCTTATTTATTATTTCTCTCTCACATGTAACATGCTTTTTTTTCTAGTTTCCTTATCACTGTGCTTCAGCCTTTTGAGTATGACACTTATGTGGTTTTATCTAGGTTGCTTCTCCTTGGAACTTACTAAAGTTTTTGGATCTGTGTGTTCATAGTTTTCATAAAAATTTAGTGAATTTTCTGCCATTTTTTTCAAATATTTTTCTCTTTCCTTATTTCTGGTATTCCAAATACATGTAAATTGGAATATTTAATGTTTCAGACATAATCTAGACTATCTTTATTTTCAGGCTTTTTTCCCTCTATGCTTCATTTTATATTATTTATATTGGTGTATATATATATATTCAGATTCATTAGTTTTCCTGCAAGACATAATTGGCTTTTGGTCTCATCCAGTATTTTTCATTTAGATATTGTATTTTTAAAATTTTTAAAAATTAATAAACTTTACTTTTGTAGAACACTATTTGGTTTACAGAAAATCAGAGCATAGAACACAGGGAAATTCCAAACACCCCTTTTCCCTGCAATGCAAGAAGTTTTCTCTTATTAACATTTGCATTAATGTGATATATTTGTTACAATTGGTGAAAAGATATTTACACATTATTATCTAAGGTCTAGTTTACATTAAGGCTGAATCTTTGTGTTGCATAGTTTTATGGGTTTTGACACATGCATAATGTCATGTATTTACAATTAAAATATTGCACAGAATAGTTTCATCATCCTAAAAATCCTTTCTGTTCCACTTATTTACTCGTTCTTCCTTCTTTCTTCCAAATACAGGCAACCACACATCTTTTAACTGTCTCTTTATAATTTTGTCTTTTCTAGAATGTCATATAGTAAAGTAGCCTTTTCAGACTTGCTTCTTTCACTTAATATATATCTGAGATTCCTCCATTTCCTTTTGTAGCTTGATAGCTCATTTCTTTTCATCACTAAAGTTAATATATTTTTTCAGTTTTAGAAGTTCTGGTTAGGCCATTTTTATGCACTTCATCTTCTCATTAATTTGGTTATAATCTCCCTTTACATTTTGACTATATTTGTAAGATTTATAATAAGCTTTTAATTGTCTACTTATTTTGTTAACTATTATTTCTAGATCCATTTCTATTGATGATTTTTTTTCCTGCTTATAGGTCATATTTCCTAAATTTCACTAGGCTGGCAATTTTTTTGTTATATCCTAGACATTTTGAATTTGATACTGTCGTGTGCTCTATTTTATTTCCTTAAAGATTGTTGGATTTTGTCCTGGTACAGTTAAGTAATTGGCGTATCAACTTGACATTTTTGAGGCTTGATATTTAGTTTTCTATAATGGGTCTAGAAGAACCTTTCTTATAAGACTAATTTAGGACCACTGGTAGGGTATGACCAGTCTGTGCATTCTAAACAATGACAGCTCTGGCAAGCAAGAACACAAATTAATCTCAGATTTTTTTTTTTTTTTTTTTTTTTTTTTTTCTCCCTTCGACAGAGTTTTGCTCTGTCGCCAGGCTGGAGTGCAGTGGTGCAATCTTGGCTCACTGCAACCTCTGCCTCCCGGGTTCAAGCGATTCTCCTGGCTCAGCCTCCCAAGTAGCTGGGACTACAGGCACACGCCACCACATCCAGCTAACTTTTTTTTTTTTTTTTTTTACTTTTAGTAGAGATTGAGTTTCACCATGTTGACCCGGATGGTCTCGATCTCTTGACCTCGTGATCTGCCCGCCTCAACCTTTCAAATTGCTGGGATTACAGACGGGACCACCACACCCGGCCTAATCTCAGTTTTTATAATGATTGTGCGTTGTTTGGTCTGCTGTTTTCTCGTAGTTCTTAACCTTGACCTCAGGTAATTTCCTCTCTCATTTAGACTCAAAGGAATCAAAAAGACATATATCCTTATCTCTGAAATTCTGAGTCTACTCTAAAAATTCCAGCTGTTTGACTCTCTAAACTTGATCTACATCTCATCAACTCACTAAGATTGTTGTGCTCTGTTTTTCTTCCTCCTTCCACTGCTGTGACCTGGAATATTCCTGCAGTCAACAACTATGGCTCGCTTAATTTGTTTCCCTTCCCTCAGAGATTGTAGTATTCTGTTACCTGTTGTCAGTTGATTGAAAATTGATACTTATATATTTTCTCTGGTTTTATAGTTGCTTATGACAGATGAATAATTCCTGTGGTAGTTCATTTTTCATTGTCAAAACAAGATTTGTAAAAACATAAAACCATGTAATTCATTTGGATATATATTATGATCTAAACATTACACACTTAGGTAAATGAATTTGTACACATGAGCATGTTCATATCTTTGTTGATTTTTATTTTAATATAGAGAAATTCTAAAGCCATTAGAATGAATAAATTGTAATACAGTCACGTGATGGAATATTGCAGTTATATATTTACAAAGAAATGATAGTTACATGTAATATAGGTAAATATCAGGTATAATGTCTTATAAAAACAAAAATTTGGGCATGGTGGCTCACTCCTGTAATCCCAACACTTTGGAAGGCTGAAGTGGAAGAACTGCTTGATTCCAGGAGTATGAGACCAGCCTGGGCAAAACAGTGAGACTGTCTCTATTTTTAAAAAATTGAAAATTAGCCATGTATGGTAGTATGCATCTATTGTCTCAGCTACTTGGGATGCTGCGGCAGAAGGATTGCTTGAGCCTGGGAGATCGGGACTGCAGTGAGCTGTGATCACACCACTGCACTCCATCCTGAGCAACAAAGACTGCCAAAAAGAAAAAAAAAAAAATTCACAGGCCAAGCATGATGGTTCAATCCTGAAATCTCAGCACTTTTGGAGGCTGAGGTGGGCAGATCACTTGAGGTCACGAGTTTGAGACCAGCCTAGCCAACACGGTGAAACACCATCTCTACCAAAAAATACAAAAATTAGCTGGGTGGTGTTGTGGCATATAGCTGTAGTCCCAGCTACTTGAGAGGCTAAAATGGGAGGATCGTTTGAACCCGGGAGTGGAGGTTGCAGTGAGCTAAGATCATGCCACTACACACCAGCTTGGGTGACAGAGTGAGACCCTGTCTCAAACAACAACAACAAAAAAATCACAGAAGAATACAGGTTGGTTCCACTTAACAAAATTTCATAAACTTATAAAAAACAAAAAATATTTTAAGGTTATAAATGTATTTATTAAAGCTAGAAATAAGAACAAAGGGATGAAGATTCTTTTATAATTTTGATTACCTCCGAGAAGAGAGAAAAGAGCAAAGGATCTGGTGGGAGGGGGGGTGGGGGGCACATAGAGCCTCAGGTAATTGTGTTTGATTTCTTTAAATTGGAAGGTGAGTACTTAAATATTCTTCATATTCTTATTCTTTATACTCTACACAAATTTTAAGATATTACTTGTACATATTTACTAATGCTTTAATGAACAAATTAGAACCATAACATGTTGGGTTGAAGGGGTAGTATTGACAATAATAATCATGTGCTGAACATTTGCTATGTTTTGGGCGCTGTACTGGGAGCTAGGGATTCAAAAGTGAATAATTCTTGACCTCTTCCCTTAAGCAGCTCAATGCTTATTGTGAAATATAAAAACTGAATAGACTTCAAATATATAGATAATAGTAATATCAATAAGTATGATTATATGACACCTTATTTAGGAAATATGTCAGTTTCTTTACTTACACTCCTTTATATTATCTTTACACTTACCTGCACTTTAGGTAATAACTTCCTGCAGAATGAGAACCTAAATCTAAATTATTTGTCTGCATTGATGCAAAACATGAGCAATCAACTGGGGATCTGAGCCAACATGTTTCTGAGATTGAGGCCTAACCCACCTCCACAAATCCATCCCTCACAGGGAGAAATGGAGACAGGTGAGCTCATAAGTTGGCAACTCAGTTTACTTTGCTTTTTTCTATCCCATTGTCTTGATTCTGTTCTCCTTTTACAGGAGATGGCAAAAAAGTTCTATTGAATGAGTGAACAGTGAAATAGGGAACTGGTGATACTTTTGATTTGCCTTATTTACTCATAAAGATAGGCTCCAAAATGAGACCCCCTTTCAGGAAAGAGATAAGGAAGTTTGAAATATCTCTCACTCTCTAACAAAATTAGTCTTTTAAAAAGTTATCTTAAAACTAGAGACATGTTTGCAATCTTTGAGAGGCTTTTTCCTCCCATTCCTTTTAACATTATATATAGTACAAATTCTGTATATAATTCCTCTTTGAATGTCTAGGATCCACAAAGAATATCTAATAATTGTCATCATAATATTATGGTCCTGACTAAGGGTATGCAGATGCTTAATTAGTGACTTTTATCCTGTCTTTGCAGTTTGCTGCTAATGGCCTCAAGTAAATGGGGGAGAAAGTTGCTGAAGTGTCTCAAATGCAAATGAGAAAAGCAGTACGAATCTGTCATTGTCCATATTTATACAGTTCACATTATAAGTATTTGAATTAAAGAAGCCATTTACATTTAAATTTTCAAAGGCTGTGGAAAGAAAACATTATTTATTCTACTTTTAGAAGACCTTGCCACCATATAGTTACCTTCTAATTATCTACTATGAATGTGAACTGTTTCCATAACTGTGGTATGAAACAAAACCAGCACAACTATTTTAGCAAATATCATAGAGGTAAAATTAACATTTGAAAATATGAGCTTGCATTCAAAATTCAAACTCCCTTAAAAAAGGCAGCACACATTTCCCTCATTTCAGCTATGCTGGAATGAAGCAAATATTATCAGCCAAACAAATTACCAACTCTACTGTGATTAGGAAAACCCAGTATTAAGGATGTAAGAAGATACAGATTGCTTCCAATTCTGGGAAGATGTCATAGGCATACTTTTCTCTATTGCTCCCATAAATACCAGCACATAACATAGCAGATATAATACAACCATGAAAGATAAAGAGATGAGGCAGGCTGGGTAGAGACATCAGGACACAAGGAGTGACATGGTGGTACATTCCTTGGCTTTCCTTATATATCTAAGATTGGAACTCAAGCCAGCAACTCAAACACTAATGGACACAGTTTTTGTTTTTTTTGTTTGTTTTTTTGTTTTTAAGTCCTGACAAAATCTGCTCTCTCTAGTCAAGGAGAGGAAGAGAGGAAGCCTAGTCATGCAGTAAATGTTTAGACTGTAAACTGCTCTACTCCAAATACCACTGTAAAAACTGTTGCCATCACCCCCACCCATGCCTGCAAAGATCTAATGGAGGAGGTCTCAACTTCCAGAGAGTAATGAACTGGCTACTTCTTCCCCTTCCTGTGGATGGTGTCAGAAAAGACTGAGTAGGGAGCTGAGACTTTCATTTTCACTGAGCAGTAACAAGATCTCCATTACACTCAAGGAATGTCAGCAAAGACCATGGTGGGAGCAGGGACATAGGCTCCAGCCAGCAGTAATAAGACACCCCTTTTTCTCTCTGCCAGGGGGATACCAGAGGACAACTAGAAGAAAGGCAGAATTCTCATCAATCCCAGGAGTAACAAGACCACCCTCACCACTGTGTCTGTGGAAACCACTTGGGCGTAATAATGAAGCCTTTCTGTCCCTCCCAGCCAGGACACTATCAACAGAAGCCTAGAGAGGAGTCAGAATTTCTACCCTCATCTATTACTGGGATATTTTGGTGGTCCAGGCTGGGTGGATAATGGGCTCAACTGAAACCCAGTGGGGACCTGAATTTTACCTTTTCCTAACAGTAATGAGTTGGTGCCCTACCCCTGCCACTATTACAGCAGTGTCAGAGAAAATCAGCTAGAAACATAAGTTTTTACATAAGATCTAGAATCTTGTAAAATAATAAATAGTATGGGTTTAAATTGATATCACTCATTATACCAAGAACCAGGAAGACCTCAAACTGAATGAAAAAAAATAATAAATTCTATGATCAAGATGACAGAGATATTATAATTATCTGAGATTTTAAAGCAGCCATCATAAAAGTGCTTCAATGAGCATTTACAAACATACTTGAATCAAAAGAAAAAATAAAGTTTTAGCAAAGAAATAAAGGCTTGACAAATAGAGAAGATATAAAGAAGAAAAAAAGGAATTCGAGAATCAAAAAATGTAGCAACCAAAATAAAAATTAAAACCAAAAACCCTCAATTATAGATGCCTATGCAAATTGAAAGAGACAGAGGAAAGAATCAGTGAACTGGAAGACAGAAAGAATAAATTACCCAGTCTGAACAATAGAGAAAAAAAGACAAAAATTGAACAGAGCCTTATAGCTCTGTGGGGCTATAATAAAAAATGTAACATTTTGTGTCATAATAATCCTGGGAGGAGAGAAGAATGAGGGAAGACTGAAAAAAGTACTCAAGGAAACAGTGCCTAATAAGTTATCAAATTTGGCAAAAGGCATAAATTTACAAATTCAGGAACCTAAGTGAACTCCAAATGCAATAGAGCCAAGAAAATATGCCAAGATACATCATAGTCAAGTATCTGGAAACTAAAGACAAAGAAAATACCATGAAATCACTGAGAGAAATATCATCATACTTATGAAAGAAAAAAAATACACCTGACAAAGAATTCCTCTTCAGAAACCTGGATGCCAGAAAAAAGTGGGACAGCATTTTCAACTGTTGAAAAGTGAGGAACTGCAACCCCAAATCCTATATCCAGTGAAAATGTCCTTCAGAAATTAAAGAGTGATCTGTTTAAGCAGATTTTTAATGTGTTTTAAAATCTTCCTCAGATAATTCTAACATCTTTTTCATATTGGTGGTGGAATTTTCTTTTCTCATTCAGACATTTTCAGATACAGAAAACCTAAGAAAATCTGTCATCAGTAGAAGACCTACCCTAAGAGTAGCTAAAAGAATTTATCTGTGTATAAAGAAAACAATAGTAGGAATTTTGTAATAACAAAAAGGAAGAAAGTACCTGGGAAGCAAAAACATGGTTAAATATAAACTCTTCCTCCTCTTGAATTTTCTAAATTATGTTTGACTGTTGAAGCAAAAATTACAACACTGATGTGGTTCTAAATATATACAAAGGAAATATTTAAAGCTATTTTATTATAAATGGCAAAGATAATGGATATATAGGTTTGTTTCTACATTGAACTGGCAAAATAACACTAGGAGACTGTTTTATGCTATGAATATGTAATGTAATCAATAGAGCAACTACTAAAAGAAAGCTATAGAAAGAAATACACTCCCAACCACGGTGATAAATTTTAAAAAAATCTTTAAAATGTTTAACGCCATAGAAATGTAGAGAAAAAAAAAAGAAGAAGAAAAAACTAAAAGACCAAGCAGTAAACACAAAATTAGAATGGCTGACTTAAGCCTTAATCTAATAATTACTTTAGATCTAAGTGGGCTAATATACAAAAAACTGACGTTAGTATAGTACATTTTAAATCAGGGGAAACCAAACAACGAAAAATATAGGACAATTTGACAATCCTCAATTTTAGTTGTTTTCAAAGATATGTTAATTAAAACAATACTTTAAAATTATATAACTCTCAGCAAACTATCGCAAGGACAAAAAAACACCGCATATTCTCACTCATAGGTGGGAACTGAACAATGAGAACACTTGGACACAGGAAAGGGAACATCACACAATGGGGCCTGTCGTGGGGGTGGGGGGAGGGGGAAGGGATAGCATTGGGAGATACACCTAATGTAAATGACGAGTTAATGGGTGCAGCACACCAACATGGCACATGTATACATATGTAACAAACCTGCACGTTGTGCACATGTACCCTAGAACTTAAAGTATAATAATAAAGGAAAAAATAAAATTATATAACTCAAAATATTTTGGGATGGAAAACATTTTAAATATAATACCTATATTCAGAGTTAATATAAAATCAACATTTTCACAATGATATTTAAATTACGAATACATTTTTTAAAAGCCAATTAAACATATATAATGTTGTTACCATTTGATTGCGATAATTCTGCATTAACAATTGACCATAGAAAATTATTAGAGAAATGGATGAAGGATTTGTGTGGGATACAAGAGTGAACAATAAATGACCGTGAATTTTTTGTCATCAAATTATAGTACGTTTCTAATCATTATAACAGTGTTACTTATAAAGTTTGAAGAAATGTGTGTAAGAGTAAGACACTGATTAAGGCTATGCACAGCAGCTTACGCTTGTAACTCCAGCCCTTTGGGAGGCTGAGGTGGGAGGATCACTTGAGGCCAAGAGTTCGAGAGCAGCATGGGTAACATAGTGAGACCCTGTTTCTACAAAAATAAAAAATTAATAAAGTGTGGTGGTTCATTCCTGTAGTCTCAATTACTTAGGAAGCTAAGATGGGGGAGGATCACTTGAGTTAGGGAGATCCAGGCTGCAGTGAGCTGTGATTGCACCACGCACTTTAGTCTTCATTACAGAGTAGACTCTGTCTCAAAAAAAAAAAAAAAAAAAAAAAAAAAAGGAAAGATGAAAAAGAAAACCTGATCATCAAATAAGTTATACATCTATACTGTAGAGTAATGCTTCTGTTAAACATTGTTTTTAAACAACCGTAATTAACATGAAAATAAATCAGAACATAAATTACTACATTTGATATGAAACTATTAGTATTATATATGTAAAAATATACCTTTTTCTCTGTCTTAAGTAAATGATATAACAGTCAGTAAAAATTAGCATGTATAAGTATTTGTTTTCCTTTTGTGATAATTTGCAATTATACATTTTTGATGTATTGAAGTATTCATATTTACATGTTCATATGACACACATAAGTTTTATGTTTAGGAAAAAATTAAAAACAGATAAAGAGATTGGGTAAATAAACTGATACATTTTACATGATAGAAAAACTAAAAATTATTAAAGTTTTCTCTAGACAATGTTATAGGTAATTTTTCATTTTTCTTTTTCTCTATGTGTAAACAATTATAAATATTTTATACAATCCTATTTAACTTAGAAATACTTGAAAAATTGTTTTGTTTTCATTTTGTGTTGCTAGGTTTTCATTCCTCATTGAAAGTTAGATACAATTTGCAGTAGCCATTATGTCCCTTCACAAATATTTATTTTGTCTTACATTTTCTTTTTTTTTTTTTTTTTTGAGTTAAGGTCTCACTGTATCACCCAGGCTGGAGTGCAGTGGCATGATCTCAGTGTAGCTAGCCTCAACCTCCCGAGCTCAAATGATCTCCTGCCTTAGCCTCCTAAGTAACTAGGACAACAGGTGTATGCAACCACACCCAGCTAAATTTTATATTTCTTGTAGAAACAAGATTTCACCATGTTGCCCAGGCTGGTCTCGAACTCCTGGGCTCATGATTCATCCACTTCGGCGTCCCAAAGTGCTGGGCTTACAGGCATGAGCCATGAGCCACTGCACCTGGCCTGTCATATATTTGCTTCCAGTTATGTTGTAAGTTTGTTGTTTCCATTTCCACTGAACTCAGATATGGCTGTGTGACTTGTGGTTCATTATATGTAAGTGTAATAGTCATGTGTTATATGACAACAAAGAACACCAATTGTTACAAAAGCTGCAATAATAGGTAAATAAAAACAACAAAAGCTATGTATTTGTAAAGGTTCCCAATATTTAGAACCATACTGTCTTTAAAATATTGATTAAAGTGTTTACATAATAAGTATTCTGGCATTTGCTACATTGAATCATTGATTTTTCCCCACATAATGATTTTATAAATCTCCTCCCTTCAGGGCTAAAGATTTATAATCTTGTATTACAAGGGTTTTGTGTCTCCAGGAAACTGAATATATGGCACATGCCACTAATTCAGTTTGTCATTTAGCTTCCCATCTGCCTTCTGTTTTCATCTCTACAAAGTTCCAGTGTTGATCCGCATGTTTCAGGTGTCAGTCAATATGAACAGCAATCCTTGGAGGATACAGCTTTGAACTTACATAAAGGCTCTGTCTCATCAGGCTTAAGTTGTCCCTGCATCGATGACTTTAAGGGCTGTGACTCACTATGTGTTGCAAACGTCTCCTTCTGCCTGTCATTTTCAGTTAACAGAGGCATCCTGTCAGCTCTATGATAGAGTAATGCCTTCTGTAACTCTCTTAGGAGATCATTTATCTTCTAGGTTCTTGCTAGGCTTTTATCATTGTTTACTTTAAAAATAAGTGTAGTTCTGAAGATCTAGACATGAAGTCATTGCAGATAAAAAAAAGAAGTCTGTATCATCTCTGCTTTGACTACACAAAATATCTGTATAGAGATTTTAACTTTGTGGAGTCATAGGCACCCAAAATATATAGCTACATAAACACAGTTCTTAATTTTAAAAATTGATATAGTTTGGCTATATCCCCACCAAAATCTCATCTGGAATTCCCACATGTTGTAGGAGGGACCCAGTAATTGAATCACAGGGGCAAGTCTTTTCTGTGCTGTTCTCCTGATAGTGAATAAGTCTCAAGAGATCTGATGGTATTTATAAGAGGAGTTCCCCTGCACAAGCTCTCTTCTTACCTGCTGCCATCCCTGTAAGATGTAACTTGCTCCTCCATGGCCTTCTGCCATGATGTGTGAATCTTCCCCCAGCCATGTGGAACTGTAAGTCCAATTAAACCTTTTTTTTTTTTTTTTTTTTTTGAAATTGCCCAGTCTTGGGTATGTCTTTATCAGCAGCATGGAAACACTAATACAGTAAATTGGTACCAGTAGAGTGGTGTGCTGCTGAAAAGATACCTGAAAATGTTGAAGTGATTTTGGAACTCGGTAACAGGCAGAGGTTGAAACAGTTCAGAGGGCTCAGAAGAAGACAGGAAAATGTGAGAAAGTTTGGAACTTCGTAGAGACTTGTTGAATGGCTTTGCTCAAAATGCTGATAGTGACATGGACAATAAACTCCAGGCTGAGGTGGTCTCAGATGGAAATGAGGAACTTGTTGGGAACTGGAGCAAAGGTGACTCCTGTCACGTATTAGCAAATAGACTGTTGGCATTTTGCCCTCGCCGTAGAAATTTGCAGAACTTTGAACTTGAGAGAGATGATTTAGGGTATCTTGCAGAAGAAATTTCTAAGCAGCAAATCATCCAAGAGGTGACTTGGGTGCTGCTAAAGGTGTTCTGTTTTATAAGGGAAGCAGAGCATAAAAGTTCAGAAAATTTGCAGCCTGACAATGCAATAGAAAAGAAAATCTCATTTTCTAAGAAATTCAAGCCAGCTACAGAAATTACATAAGTAATGAAAGCTGGAAGTTAATCCCCAAGACAAAGGGGAAAATGTTTCCAGGGCATGTCAGAGGTCTTCACAGCAGCGCCTCCCATCACAGGCCTGAAGGGCTAGAGGAAAAAGTGGTTTCATGGGCCGGGCCCAGGGTCCCCATGCTGTGTGCAGTCTAGAGACTTGCTGCCCTGTGTCCCAGCAGCTCTGGCTGTGGCTGAAAGGGTCCAATGTAGAGCTCAGGCCATGACTTCAGAGGGTGCAAGTCCCAAGCCTTGGCAGCTTGCATGTGGTATTGAACCTGCAAGCATACAGAAGTCAAGAATGAAGGTTTGGGAACCTCCTCCTAGATTTCAGAGGATGTATGGGAACACCTGGATGCCTAGGCAGAAGTTTGCTGCAGGGGTGGGGCCCTCATGGAGAACCTCTGCTAGGGCAGTGCAGAAGGAAACTCTGGGGTCAGAGCCCCCACACAGAGTCCTTACTGCAACACTACCTAGTGGGGCTGTGAGAAGAGGGCCACCATTCTACAGACACCGTAATGGTAGATCCGCTTGAATTTCTTGCACTGTGCACCTGGAAAAGCCACAGACACTAAACACCAGCTCATGAAAGAAGCCAGGAGGGAGGCTGTACCCCCTGCAGGGCCAGAGCTGCCCAAGACCATAGGAACCATCTCTTGCATCAGCGTGACCTGGATGTGAGACCTGGAGTCAAAAGAGATCATTTTGGAACTTTAAGATTTGACTGTCCTGCTGGATTTCAGAATTGCCTAGGGCCTGTAGCCCCTTTGTTTCAGACCATTTCTCCCATTTGGAATGGCTGTGTTTACCCAATGCCTGTACTTTCACTGTATCTAGAAAGTAACCTGCTTTTGATTATACAGTCTCATAGGTGAAAAGGACTTGTCTTGTCTCAGATGAGAGTTTTGACTGTGGACTTTTGAGTTAATGCTAAAATGAATTAAGACTTTGGGGGACTGTTGGGAAGGTATGATTGGTTTTGAAATGTGAGGACAAGAATGTGAGATTTGGGAGAGGCCAGGTGTGGAATGATATGGTTTGGCTGTGTCCCCATCCAAATCTCATCTTGAATTTCCATTTGTTGTGGGAGGGGCGCAGTGGGGGTTAATTGAATCATTGGGGCAAGTCTTTCCCATGCTGTTCTCATGATAGTGAATAAGTCTCATGAGATTTGTTTGTTTTAAAAAGAGGAGTCCCCCTGCACAAGCTATCTCTCTGCTTGCTGCCGTCCATGTATGACATGACTTGCTCCTTGCTTTCTGCCATAATTGTGAGGCTTCCCCAGCCACATGGAACTGTAAGTCCAATTAAACTTCCTTCTTTTGTAAACTGCCCATTCCTGGATATGTCTTTATCAGCAGTGTAAAATGGACTAACACAAAAATATAACAACGAAAGCTCCTCATCCTTAAGTAAATGAATTTCTCCGATGGTAAAAGCTCCTGTCCTTGAGTTTTACATTGTGGAAACTAATTAATCATATGTGAAACTGCAACAATCAGTCATCCACAAAATTGTAAAGAAAGAAAAATGTTTCAACTGTTTCTTCTCCATTGAATTGTTTGGGGCCAATCTGCCCTTGATGCCAATAACTTTGTTCCCAAGCTGGCCTTTCGTTCCACAAATTCCCAACTTTTCTCTGCGTTGACACATAGGTTTGGCACATCAATCTAGAATTCAGTTCTTTACTAATCTTTGAGATAGTGTAACAGCAGAATATATTTATCCCAGACAACAGAATTTACGGAAGGGGATTTGAGGTTCTAGGCACTCAGATAAGGTGGATGTTTCTGATAGTACTTTGAATCTTAAGAATGTTTTAAATAAAACTAACCTTCAATAAAGGAGTATATGATTTGTATGGTCCTTACAAATATGACAGTCTTAGGTTGCACACTTTGATAGCTTAGAAAAGAATCATAATCTTAAATACAATACTTTTCAGGTGGTGCTTCAGATGTATGTGTATGGCTGCAGCACAGTGCAATGCCTGTCGTATTGTTGCTCTTAATACACAGTTGCTGTCTAAAAGAACAAGTCAAGAAATGAATGACTGAATAGCTCATGTAATGTGTAAGTTTGTGGCAGTTTTTACAGGTTTTTAGATAGTGCTTTATGTACTGCAGGATAGTCCTAAGCAAGTCTCTGATTTGGGTTAGCTTCCGAGGATTACATGATAAGAGAAATTTTAAATTGGGCCTAAAAACAAAAGCAAGATTTAAGTTTCAAATATTATAGACTTCTTTTTTGAGAATATTGGAACAACAACAACAACAAAATGATAGCCTCTTATCAGAGACTCAAACACCTTCCAACTCACTATTCAACATTCTCTGGGCATGGGTTTGTTATTCTCAACCCAATACGATTGGTAGTGCTAGCTCTGGTTGTCACATGCAAGTTTCAGGCAACTATACAGAGAAAGGGTGTAGATAGGCACACCTTGGAAGAATTATACATTTCTACTTCCGTATCACTGAGCTGATATGACCACACTTAGCTGCAAGACAGGCTGGCTACTATGGTCTGGGTTAGCAGCAATGTGTTTAGCTACAGTTATCTTTTAAGGAATAAAAGAAGAATAAAAATTTGGAAAGAGTATTTTTTGCCATAATTCTTACTCAAGCATAGATGGTTTCACCTTCTATTTATAGGTAAAATTTAAAAATGTAGCACATAGAAATAAATAGCATATTCTTCTGAATAATTATATTACCTTTAGAAAGATGCAATGTTGTGTCAAGATGTCAATTGAGATTGCTAATTAATTATAGTCGTGTAACCAGGTGAAAACAAAAGATTAGAATTGAAATGTGTAAAATATTGGTATTATACCGTTATAGATGACATGTAATTTTTAAGATGTGCTAGATATTGTCTACTGACACTTGGAATCCATATTCTACTGTCTTCTATGTGCTTTGTTGTGTTGTAGAGATTAGAATGCTTAAAGCATAAGGCTAGATTTATCAGACTTCCTTATAATTAAGGTTCTGGGTACAAGTTTCATTGATCCAATTAGATATTGCTCACAATAGGTTGGAAAGCAGAAGTGAGGTGAACATATCTTCCTGCATTTGTAAAAAAATTTCGTTATATATATTTGATGTATAAAGCATGATTTTTTAATGTACATATATATGAGAAATGACTACTAAAATCAAGCTAATTAACATCCATTTATTCACATAATTCCCTTTTTTATTATTTTGTGGTAAGGGCACCTGAAATCTGTTCTATTGGCATATTTTCAAAATATAACATTGTTACTAACTATAGTCATCATACTGTAAATTAAACCTGTAGATTATTCATGCTACACTATGGAAACTTTGTAAGCTTTGACCAACATCTCCCCATCCTCACTCTTCTCTCTACTGGTGAATACCCTTATAATCTCTATTACTATGTATTGAATTTTTAAAGACTCCACTTATAAGTGAGATCATGCACAACCTTTCTTTCTGTGTCTGGATTATTTCACTTAGCAAAATGTCATCTCGGATCATTCATATTGCTGCAAATGACAAAATCTCCTTTTAAAGCTGAATAATATTCCCTGTATGTATTTACCTCAATTTCTTTATTCATCTGTTGATGGACATTAGGGTTGTTTTCACAGCTTGCCTGTTGTGAAAAATGCTGCAGTAAACATGGGAGCATAGCTATTTCAATGCAATCCTGATTTCACTTCCTTTGATTATATACTGAGAAGTAGGATATGTATGCGTCATATGATGGTTTTATTTTTAGTTTTTTGAGGAACCTCCATTTGTTTTTCATAATGCCCGTAACCAGTTTACACTCTCATCAACAGTGTACAAGGGTTTCCATTTCTCCATACTCTCACCAACACTAATCTTTTATATTGTTAAGAGCCATCCTAACAGGTGCAAAGTGAAATCTCATTGTGCTCTTGATTCGTACTTCCCTGATTATTGATGACAAACAACTTTTCATTCACCCGGTGGCCAGTGTGTGCTTTCTTTTGGGAAATGGCTATTCAGATCTTCTGCACATTTTTAGAGATTGGTATTAATTTAAGGGGTACTAGAGTGATTTTTGTTATGTGACTGTTTTGCATGGTTATGAAGTATAGGCTTTTAGTATAACCGTCACCCACATTTGCCCATTTTTTAAACATGTTGATTATGTGATAATTTAGCTATTGAGTTGCACTTGTTTCTTTTATATTTTGGGTATTAGCTTGTTATTGTAACCGAGGAGCTTAGCTTCAAAATGCATTTTAAAACATTTTTTCTCTTTTCTCTCTTTTCTCAAGGTGTAACTTTACTAGATAAATCATTTCATTTCTCTCCTTATTTTTAAAATATGGCCTTGAAATATACTTTCTTTGAAATACCACATCCTTCCCTTTCTCTTCATACACCCCATTGTCCCATGTACATTTTTCTAACTGTATGCTTTGTGTCTAGTTGTGACCTTATGTTCTGGTGGATAATCTTGAGATAAACCAGATGTGTAGACCCAAACGCAAAATTCAAGAGATTACCTTAAGGTGGTTAGTCTGCAACTTAGTCATTGTTAAGATGACACTAGTCCATGCTGAGAGCCACAAGAACAAGATTCATAGTCCTTGTACCCAACAGCCTGCATGCCTCCCATTCCAAGTTCCCTTTTTTTTTTTCCTGTTTTAAATTATACTATAAGTTCTAGGGTATATGGGCACAACGTGCAGGTTTGTTACATATGTATACATGCGCCAAGTTCCTAGGGTACATGTGCACAACGTGCAGGTTTGTTACATATGTATACATGTGCCATGTTGGTATGCTGCACCCATTAACTCGTTATTTACATTAGGTATATCTCCTAATGCTATCCCTCCCCACTTCCCGCCACCCCATGACAGGCCCCAGTGTGTGATATTCCCTTTCCTGTGTCCAAGTGTTCTCATTGTTCAGTTCCCACCTATAAGTGAGAATATGCGGTGTTTGGTTTCTTGTCCCTGTGATAGTTTGCTGGGAATGATGGTTTCCAGCTTCATCCATGTCCCTACAAAGGACATGAACTCATCCTTTTTTATGGCTGCATAGTATTCCATGGTGTATATGTGCCACATTTTCTTAATCCAGTCTATCATTGATGGACATTTGGGTTGGTTCCAAGTCTTTGCTATTGTGAATGGTGCTGCAATAAACATACGTGTGCATGTGTCTTCATAGCAGCATGATTTATAATCCTTTGGGTATATACCCAGTAATGGGATGGCTGGGTCAAATGGTATTTCTAGTTCAAGATCCTTGAGGAATCGCCACACTGTCTTCTACAATGGTTGAACTAGTTTACAGTCCCACCAACAGTGTAAAAGTATTCCTATTTCTCCACATCCTCTCCAGCACCTGTTGTTTCCTGACTTTTTAATGATTGCCATTCTAACTGGTGTGATATGGTATCTCATTGTGGTTTTGATTTGCATTTCTCTGATGGCCATTTTTTCATGTATCTGTTGATGAGCATTTTTTCACGTATCTGTTGGCTGCATAAATGTCTTCTTTTGAGAAGTGTCTGTTCATATCCTTTGCCCACTTGATGGGGTTGTTTTTTTCTTGTAAGTTTGTTTGAGTTCTTTGTAGATTTTTGATATTAGCCCTCTGTCAGTTGAGTAGATTGCAAAAATCTTCTCCCAAGTTCCCTTTTTTATGCCCATCTCCCAGCATAGAGTTTGAAACAGTTTCTCTAGGTATGAGACTGGCTGTTTCCCCAATGGCAGCTTGGAATAAAACCACTTTCCTTTCACTGTATCTTGTGCTTCTTATTGGCTTTGCAAGAGGCAAGCAGCCAGGCCTACATTCAGTAACATTAGATATATGATTTGCAAATATTTTCTCCCAATTTGTAGGCTGCTTTTTCACTTTTGTTAATTTTTTATTTCACTGTGCAGTCACTTTTTAAGTATGATACAGTCCTATATGTTTATTTTTGCTTTTGTTGCCTGAGGTTTTTGTGTGATATCGAAAATATAATTGCCAAGGCCAATGTCAAAGAATTTTTTCAATATGTTTTCTTCTGGGAGTTTTATGACTTCAGGTTTTATGGTTAAGTCTTGAATCCATTTTTAGCTGACTTTTATGCATATTATTACATAATTTAATTTTGTACTTGTGCATAGCCAGTTTTCTCAACATCATTAATTTTCCCATTGTGCGTTATTGGTGTCTTTGTCAAAAATTAGTTGACCACGTATGTGTGGGATTATTTCTGGGCTCTCTATCGTGTTTTATTGGTGTTTGTGTCTGTTTTCATGCCAGTACCATGCTGTTTTAATTAATATATCTTTTTAACATAATTTGAAATCAGGAAATATGTTGCTTCCAACTTTGTTCTCCTTTCTCAAGATTGCTTTAGCCAATCTGGGTCTTTTGTAGTTTTATACAAATTATAGAATTTTTTCAATTTCTGTTAAAAATGCCATTGATATTTTGATAGTGGTTGCATTGAATCTGTATATTCGGCCAGACACAGTGGCTCACACCTGTAATCCTAGCACTTTGGGAGGCTGAGGTGGATGGATCACAAGGTCAGGAGTTTGAGACCAGCCTGGCCAACATGATGAAACCCTGTCTCTACTAAAAATACAAAAAATTAGCTGGGCATGGTGGTGCACTCCTGTAATCCCAGCTACTTGGGAGGCTGAGGCAGGAGAATTGCTTGAACCGAGGAGGTGGAGGTTGCAATGAGAGGAGATGGTGCCATTGCACTCCAGCCTGGGTGACAGAGTAAGACTCCATCTCAATAAATAAATAAATAAATAAATAAATAAATAAATAAAATAAGAATCTGTATATTACATTAAGTAGTATAGACATTTTAACCATATTAATTCTTCTAATCCATGAACATAGGTTATCTTTGCATTTATTCTTCAAATTATTTATCAATGTTTCATAGTTTTAAGGGTACAGGTCTTCCACTTCCTTGGTTAAAGCTATTATTTTTATTTTTTGAATACCTTAATATTTATTGAATTTTATTCTTTTTCATGCTGTAGTAAATAGGATTGTTTTCTTTATTTGCTTTTTGGATAGGTCATTATTGGTGTAAAATAATATAAGTAATTTTTTTGTTAATTTTGTATCCTGCATCATTCCTGAATTTGTTTATTAGTTCTAACAGTTTGTGTGTTTGTGTATGTATAGAGTCTTTAAGGTTGTCTAGATATAGGATTATGTCTTCTGCAATCAACGATACATTTACTTCTTCCTTTCCAAATTAAATGCATTTTATTTTTATTTTTTGTCCAATTGTTCTGCCTAGTTCTCTCAGTACTATATTGAAAAGAAGTTGTGAGAATAGGCATCCTTGTTTTTTTCTTTTCTGTTTATTTTTGAGACAGAGTCTCGCTCTGTCACCCAGTCCAGAGAGCAGTGCTGCAACCTCAGCTCCCTGCAACCTCCACCTCCCAGGCTCAAATGATGCTCTCGCCTCAGCCTCTGGAGTAGCTGAGATTACAGGCATGTACCATCCTGCCCACCTAATTTTCATACTTTTAGTAAGGACAGGGTTTCATCATGTTGGCCAGGCTGGTCTCAAAATCCTGACTTCAAGTGATCTACCTGCCTCAGCCTCCCACAGTGCTGGGATTACAGGCATCCTTGTTTTATTCTTAATTTTAGAAGAAAAGTTCGTTGTTTCTCCCATTGATTATGATGTTAGCTGTGGGCTTTTCATAAGTAGACTTATTATGTTGAGGAAGTTTCTTTCTATACTTATTTTGTTGAGAGATTTTGTCATGAACGAATGTTCAGCTTTTTCACATGCTTTTTCTGCATCTATTGAAACAATTTGTCCTTCTTTCCTTCCTTCCTTCTCTTCCTTCCTTTTTTCTTTCTTCAGGGTCTCACTCTATCACCCAGGCTGAAGTGCAGTGGCACAATCTTGGCAAACTGCAACCTCCACCTTTTGGGCTAAAGTGACATTACCACCTCAGCCTCCCTAGTAGCTGGGAATACGGACACATGCCACCATGCCTAGGTAATTTTTGTAATTTTTGTAGAGACAGGGTTTTACCCTGTTGCCCAGGCTGGTCTCAAATGCCTGGGCTCAAGCAATCCATCTGCATTGACATCCCAGAGTGCTGCAATTACAGACATGAGCCACCATGCCTGGCCTATCATGTGCTTTATATCCTTCATTCTGTTCATGTTGTGTAACAAATGTATTGATTATGTATGTTAAATCAACTTTGTATCCTAGGGATAAATCTTTCTTCCATTATAGTGTATTGTCTTTATGATGCATTAGTGGATTCGGTTTGCAAGAATTTTTGCATCTATATTTCTCATAAACACTGGCCTTAAGTTTTATTTTTTTTGTGTGTGGCGTCTTTATATGGCTTTAGTATCAGAATTTTGCTGGCCTTATATAACGAAGTATTAGACGGAGTTTGGAAGTATTTGGCCTTACATAAAAAAGTTTGGAAATATTCCCTTTTGCAATTTTTTGGAAGAGTTTAAGAAGGACTCCTATTAATTCTCCTTGAATTTTTGGTATAATTCAGCCATAAAGCCATCTGGTCATGGGTTTTTTGTTGAGAGGTTTTTGATTGCTACTACAAACTCCTAATTTGTGTTGATTCAGTCTTGGTAGGTTATACATGTCTAGGAATATCTTTCTTCTAGGTTACCCTTTTTTTGTGTATCATTGTTCATAACAATCTCATAATTTTTTCCCTGAGGCATCCATTATATTATCTCTATTTCGTTTCTGATTTTGACAGTTCTCTATTTCTTAGTCTAGGCAAGGGCTTGTTGATTTTGTTTATATTCTCAAGAAATCAACTAAGTTTTGTTTTTTTTTCTTTTTTCTTATAATTTTAATTCCCAAATATTGTTTATTAAACATAATTGTATACATTTATGGGAAACATCGTGATGTTTTGCTATATGTATACAATATGGAATGTTTAAATCAATCTAACAATCTACAACCTCGCTTACCTTTTTTAATGGTGATACATTTAAAATTTACTTTCTTAATTATTTTGAAATATATGATTATTATTGACCCTAGTTACCCTGCTGTGCAGCAGATCAAAAAACTGATTACTACTTTTTTTCTGAAACTTTGTAACCATCAATCAATAATGCTCCTTTTCCTCTCTCTCCACTCCCACTCCAGCCTCTGGTAAGCATCATTGTACTTTCTACTTGACTGGCTTTAAGTTTATCAGATTCTACATGTAAGTGTGATTGTGCAGTATTTTTCTGGCTGTGCCTATCTTATTTCTCTTAGCATAATGTCCTCCAGGTATATGTATTTTGTATATATACCTCTCTTCATATGCATAGCTTACAAATATTTCATTTTGTGGGTTTTCTCTTGACTCTGGTGATTCTTTTTGTTTTTTGAAATGGAGCCTCACTCTGTCACCCAGGCTGGAGTTCAGTGGCATGATCTCGGCTGACTGCAACCTCTGCCTCCTGGGTTCAAATGATTCTTCCACCTCAGCCTCCCGAGTAGCTGGAATTACAGGAAACCGCCATCATGCCAGGTTAATTTTTGTATTTTTGTAGAGACAGGATTTCACCATGTTGGCCAGGGTGGTCTTGAACTCCTGACTTCAGGTGATCTGCCTGCCTTGGCCTCCCAAAGTGCTAGGATTACACACGTGAGCCACCGCTCCTGGCCTATTTTGTGAAACTTTTATAACTATTATTGTTTTAGTTACCAAGGAGCTTACATAAAATGTATAATAGTTTTAGTGGTCTATTTTCAGCTGATAACTGCTTAAATTTACTTGCATACAAGAACTCTACACATGTTTTTTCTCCTCCTCTGACACATTATATTCTATCAATTTCCCAAATTATATCTACTTATATTAAGTATCCATTAACACAATTATTTATAACTGTTTTAATGCTTTGTCTCTTTTATAGTGGAATTATAGTTGCTGAGAAAATTGTGACATTAGGTATGTGGTCAAACCCTTTGTCCAGCACTGTTACAGTAATATAGTATTTTCAATATTTGTATATATTTACCAATGAGTTTCCTACCTTCTTAAGCTCTCCTAGTCCTTATTTATTATACTTTTGTTTCAAGTTGAAAAGTTCCATTTACATTTATTTTAAGTCAAGTCTAGTGGTGATAATTTTTCTTAGTTTTTTTTGTCAAAGAGATTATTTCTTTCCTTCATTTGTGAAGGACATGTTATCTGGATATAGTAGTTTCGTTGGCAGGTTTATTTTCTGCAAGCACTTTGAATATATTATCTGTCTCCCTCCGGCCTATAAAGTTTCTGCTGAAAAATCTGCTGACAGTCTTATAGAAATTCTCTTATATATAACAAATCTCTTTTTCTCTTGCTGCTTCCAAAAATCTCTCTTTGGCTCTAACTTTTAACAATTTTATTATAATGTATCTTAATATGGGTCTTTTGGGATTCATTTCATTCATGTTCTATGACTTCCTGAATCTGAATATTTCCCCCTAGCTTGGAAAGTTTCCAGCTGTTACTTATTTGAATAACTTTTTGGCTCCTTTCTGTCTCACTCTTCTTCTTTGCTCCCATAATGTGTATATTGGTCTGCTTGGTGATCTTTAAGTTTCTTAAGCTACCTTCACTTTTTTCTTTTTTGTTGTTGTTGTATCTAATTGTATGATTTCCAATGACCTATCTTTGAGTTCTTTGTTCTACTTGATATACTCTGCTGTTGAACACCTCCGTTTAATTTTTTAGTTTGGCTATTGTATTCTTCAGTTCTATGATTTCTGTGTGGCCCATTTTGTATTTTCTTTGTCTTTCTTCAAAAACTCACATTTTTCATATATTGTTCTCCTGATCTCAGTGAGCACTTTTTTTTTTTGAGAGTCTCATTGTCACCCAGGCTATAATGCAGTAGCACAATCATGACTCACTGCAGCCTCAAGCTCCTAGGATCAAGCAATCCTCCCACCTCATCCTCCTGAGTACTTAGCATCTTAATGACTATCATTTTGAATTTTCAGCCAGGTAAATCATTGAGTGTTCATTTCTGGAAATTTACCTTATTTTCTTTGTAACATATCTTTCTTTTTCTTTATTTTTATTGGCTGTGTAGTTTGCCATACATTAGATAAAGTGGTCACTTCTCCCAGTCTTGTCAGACTGGCCTCATATAGAAGATGAACTCACCAATCAGCCTGGCCAGAGATTCTGGGTGCCTCTCAAATCCTTGTGCTTGTTTAAACCACTGTCTTAGTTCTCTGTGGTCCCAGGATGTTCCAAATCTCGTTGGTGTCCCCAAGACAGGAGAGATAGAAACTAGTCTCTAAGTAGCATCTGGAAAAGTTGGGGTGCTAAATGTGTGGTCTAATTCCCTTCTCTCCTCAGGGATAAGCTGGAAGCTGGCTTTTGTATCTAGCTCACTCCATAGTAAACAGGGTAAAAGATCTGTGGCAAATGTGTGCACTCTCATTCAGAATGGAAACCCATTCCAACTATTGCCTCGCTCTTGGTCACTTCTATAGTACTGGAAGATTCTGGGTCTTATCAGTCAGAGACAAGTAGGTTAGCTGTCTGCTTGGTTCTATCTCTGGAACAAGCTGGCAGAGGAACTTTGGAAGTACCCATATGCCTATACAGGGCGTCAGAGGACTACTAGTTACCCTCCACCTCCACTCAATAAGCTCCTAGATGCAGGCTAATCCAGATACATATGGATAGTTGCTGAGAAAATTGTGACATTAGGTATGTGGTCAAACCCTTTACGGTTACAAACTGGCTGCTGGGTGTTTTTGCCTGCTTCTTTGGTGCTAATGTAGGAGAAATGGTCACTGGTGGTCCCCCCACAACTGTTGAAAACTACTTTTGTGTTTTCTGTGATTGTGGAGTACTCATTAACGCCAACCCCTGTCACTCCCAGAGCTGGATGATTCGGGAGTCAGTCTCCCTAGTGGGAACTTCAAAAGGCAGGGTGCTCTATGTGCTGAGCAACTCCTTCCAGGGAGAAGCCAGAGAATTGGTTTTATCATTGTAGTGAGCTGGGAGAAGCAGGTGCATGAAGTTTGCACACACCTGTTCAGGCTCCCGGGGATCTTATGAATTCCCTGTACTCCAGATGACATCTGCTTAGAGGCCTGACCTTAGACAGTAGCTGACAAAATGTTCAGTTAAACCTCTTTCAAGATAAACTGGGAGCTGGGTATTGCCTATTTGTGCTTTACTGAGCCCAGGGATATTGCAGCAGGGCATGTTCACACACACATTGAAAGTCACCTCTTTAGTTCCAGGGACCTTGTAATTGCTGAACCCCTTCTGTTTCCAGGGCTATGAGACCTAGGAGCCAGTCCCTCATGTAGGAGCTGTGAAAACTGGGATTGCTGTGTATGTGTTCTAAACCCTTCACTCTTCAGGAAAAAAATGAGAGTTGAGGATTCCTTTCCAATTGTAAGATTCTTTACCAGGGTGGGTTTTGTTGCATAAGTGGGTCTCAGCTTTTCCTGTTTTGTTGTTGTTGTTGTTGTTTGTTTTGAGACAGGGTCTGTTGCCTAGGCTGAAGTGCGGTGGTGCCATTATGACTCACTATAGCCTCAACTTTCCCAGGCTCAAGTTATCCTTCCACCTCAGCCTCCTGAAAAGCTGGGACTATAGGCATGCCCCACCATGCCTGGTTAATTTTTATTTTTTTTTGTAGTGACAGGGTCTTCCTAAGTTGCCCAGGCTGGTCTCAGACTCTTGGTCTGAAGCAGTCTTCCCACCTCAGCCTCCCAAAGTGCTGGGATTACAAGTATGAGCCACCACACCTGGACTCCTACCTGTTTTCAATGTGAATATTTCTTAGTGATACCATGTGTAGGAGTCTCTCAAGTATTCTCTGAATTTCTCTCAGAGGGAATTCATCCATGTGTAGCCATTTATTTGCTGTGTCTGTGGGAGGAGAAAAAGCCAGAAACTTCCTATTTTGCCATCTTACTGACTTTTTTTTCAGGCAATGAAGATATCTTCCACAAAGCTTGTTAAATCTTTTTCCTTAACTAATTACAATCACATATGCACACACATACACACACGCTGACACACTAACATTTTGCTAAGGTCTTGAGATGGCCTGTTAAATTCTTGATGACAGAGAATGAGTTGGGTCATCTATGGAAAAGGGCAGTTAAACGAAAGAGATGACCAGATAGCCCTTAATCATAGTTTCTATTCACTGTCTTACTCGAGATACTTCAGAATCTACAAATGGTCTCAAAGGGAGCTCCAATCTCCAGGATGCTTTTTGAGATGGATTTGTTTTTTTTTTTTAAAGTCCTGATTTTGCCTTCTTCCCACTCTAACATTTTATTATTTGACTACCTGAAATAAAAATTATCTTTCTATAAGCATAATTGCATACTGAAGTAATTTTAAAAAGGCACATTTAAGTTTTAGAATAGAAAACAGAAAAAAATATTTCTACCTCCCTTTTTGGTACAAAGATGAGAAGGTGTCTAAATATTATTGTCTCTGAAATTATTCATTAAATGATCTTCATATTTTAAGTTCAATTCGCATATTCCTTTATCATTAAGGGAAGGATTAGAAATGCCGCCCCTCCCCTCCTCTCTCCACCTTCAACCCACGAATTCCTCACTTTCTCATTTTCTGATTGCATATTATGAACCACACACTGTGTGAGGTACTGTAGACATAAAAAAACAAAAGTCCTGCCCTGAAGGGGCCCATATTTTAATGGGGATGCAGATGTGTAAGTGGATTAATTTTAAAACTATATCTTAAGTGTTGTAATGGAGATACTGCTGAGTCATTTGGATGCCATAAGGGATAAAGGGTTTAACTCTTCCAGAGGAATTATAGAAGAAAAAAATTCATAAATTTCACTTCATTAAAGTCAGAGTAATGGTGCCTACTAAGTATCATACAGTAGACCATAATTTTTGCTCACCTGATTACTATCTATTCTTGTATTTGCTAGGTAGGAGTATTAGACAGGATCAAGTCAGGAAAGCAGAAAGCACTCTAGGTATGATAGAAAGGGGAGGGAGGGAGAGAGAGAGGGAGAGAAAGAAAGAGATTTCACCCAACTGCAGCAGAATACAAATTCTTTTCAGGTAACACAGCTAGGGAATAGAGAAAGCTATATTTGACTCCAAGTCTTTCCAAAACCTCTTTCTATGAATGAATTTAAATAGTGAGAAGGCTCAGAATAAAGAGTTAAGTTTATTGGATTAAGTGAGAATAAATAGGCTTTGGAAACTCTGATCCTTACTTACTATATGACTTTTTCTCAGATCACTGCTGACCTCCAAAACTACATGGGGAGGAAGTAGAAGCAGAGGGGCATCTCTTTTATAGGGACATCTGTGGACTGTTTTTATGACCCTGAAACATTTGTAGGACTTTTTTACAGACACATGTTCCCCAGAAGAGGATTTGCCATTCTGACAAATCTCCATCCAAGGAATGGGAAATTCATTATCCCTTCCACTAGAATTAAACTGTGAAATTATTTATGTAGGAAGAAGTAGTAGTAGAAAAGTTATGTTTGTCTTCTTCACTATAAGAAAAAAATGCAAAATCAGGAAAAATGTATCTAAACTATTACTTTTACAAAGGCAAAAACAGCCTGTTTGCTATCTAATCAGTCCTGTTGATAAAACTCAGGCTGTACTGTTCTCTTCAGAGAGAGGCAAATGGGGGGAGTTATAAGATTTGCGCCCTACTGCTGTTAGTAGAATGAACAAGACAGAGTAAAAGCCACAAGTGGAATTGTGCTAGTATTTCCTCTATAATTAACCCAACACTTAGGTAGCCTTTAAAGTGAAAGGAGCCCTCCAAATGATGGAGGCACACAGGAGGTAATTATGTGCTTTCAATAAATGCCTGAAAGCTCACAATTTCTTTGGGGAGATACAATCTCTGGAAAGGCTTGCATTGTCACTCCAATTTCATTTATTTATTTTAACAAATTGTATGTTCTGTGGAGGAACTTTATTTCCCAAAAAGATGAACGTATAATAAACCAGTTCTTTATTTTAAAACTTATGGTGAGAGAAATTTCAATTTTAGATAATTCCATTGTCTATAAAGAGTCTCTATTAAATTAGCTTAAGTTCCAAAAGATAATGCCACATTATTATTGTAGGTAGCCATTATAATTCTCAAATTTCTATTGTTACATTCTGCAAGACAGTGGTAAGCAAACCACAACGTCTAGGCCAAATCTGGCCTCCCAATTGTTTTATAAATAAAATTTTATTTAAACGTAACCACTCCCATTCATTTGCTTGTCTCTGGTTGTTTTTGCAATACAACAGTAGGGTTAGGTAGATAATACAGGCTGTGTGTCACATGATGAAGCCAAAAACATTTGCTCTCTGGCTCTTTACAGAATGAATTTGCTTATATTTCTTCTAGGATGTCAATTTGTCTGCTTAATTCACAGAAGGACAAATTTTAACATAACTTACTTCTATGGCCTGAATGTTTGCGTACACTGAAAATTGATTTGTTGAAATCGATCCCCAATTTGATAGTATTAGGAGGTAGGGCTTTGGAGATGTGATTAGATCATGAGGGTGTAACCTTTATTAATGGGATTAGTGCTTTTATATGGGGTTGAAGAGACCCGAGCTCCCCTTCCACCTTGTGAGGATGCAGAAAGAAGATACATTCTGTGAACTGGAAAGCCGGCCCTCACTAGACACCAAATATGCCAGTATTTTGATCTTGGGCTTCCCAGCCTTCAGAACTTACAGCAGTCCAGAAAGATTAAGACACCCACCTGAAATGTTAATTTTGTCCTAAAATAATCTTGCATTTAAGATCTGAAATATGACCTAAGTATTATCTGAGGAGTCAATGCTGATTTATTGGTGGTGGATACTGTGATTCTGTATTAAGAATGGATCTGAAGCCACATAAGATAACTGTGATTACTTAGTGCTATTTTCAATGGCTGTGAGAAGACAACCTTGTGACCAGAATTTGAAACCCTGCATAAACAAAACTCAACATGTTTTGAAGGCCTTTACACTCTTCCTCTCAGGTTTTAGAAGTATTTCAACTGATGACAGCTTTCAGATAAAATACTCTTATTTTATTTTGAAACTAACGTTTACCAGTTTTGGAAATTTTAGTCTGGCTAGGAAGGAAAGGAGTAACATTGTGAATAGGACACCAGCCTTAGGCTAGTCCAAGTCTATAATATCAAAAGGCTAGTACATTATGTTATAGTATATGTTATAATCACGTAGCCAGCTCTCCCCTTGAGAAATAGGAGCAGGCATTATCACGTGGCCTTATTCCATTAAAGGTCATGTAATATAGCTGGGGAAATATAAGTAAAAACAAAGTCATCCCCCAAGCCAGGAAACCTCTTCACAAAGGCAGAACAAATATTAAGCATTATTATTGAATTAGCATTAAACCAGAATATGACATAAATCACAAGCAATCCACTGAAGATAATGAAAAGGCAAATCTCACCTTATGTAGACAAGCAGATACAACCCATAAAATACATGTTCTCAAGATAAACAATAACGAATCCTCAAGTAAGAAGGCTTCACAGCATGTGATTCATCCTAAATTCATTTGGTAATTAGGTTGACAGTCTGTGTTAGCAAATTGGCTTGAAAAATAAACTTCTCAAATGTTTAAGATGGGAGTAGATGTATAACTTGGAGTAAGAGGCCCCACATAATTAGGCACCTATCCTCCCATAGGAACTGGAGAATGGGAGTGCTATTTTCCTTGATTACATTTTAAAGAGATGATCTTATATATTATATAAAAAATGGTAAGGATTCTACTAAGAAACTGTTAGAACTAACAAACACATTAAGGTTGCAAGCTAGAAAATCAGCACACAGAAACAGTTGTGTTTCTTTTTTTAATTTGTATTTTTAGTTCTGGGGTACACAGGCAGGTGTGCAGGTTTGTTACATAGGTAAACATGTGCCATGGTGGTTTGCTGCACCTAACAACCCATCACCTAGGGAGTAAGTCCAGCACGCATTAACTATTTTTCCTAATGATCTCCACTCAAGCTACCCTCTGACAGGCCCCAGTATGTGTTGCTGCCCTCCCTGTGTCCATGAGTTCTCCTTGTTCAGTTCCCACTTATAAATGAGAGCATGTGGTGTTTGGTTTTCTGTTTCTGTGTTAGTTTGCTGAGGATAATGGCTTCCAGCTTCATCCATGTCCCTGCAAAGGACATGATCTCATTTCTTTTTATGGCTGCATAGTATTCCATGGTGTAGATGTGCCACATTTTCTTTATCCAGTCTACCATTGATAAGAATTTGGGTTGGTTCCAAGTCTTTGCTATTGTAAATAGTGCTGCAATAAACATACGTTGTGTGTGTGTCTTTATGGTAGAATGATTTATAATCCTTTGGGTATATACCCAGTAATGAGATTGCTGGGTCAAATGGTATTTCTGGTTCTAGATCCTTGAGGAATCACCACACTGTTTTTCACAATGGTTGAGCTAATTTACACTCCCACCAACAGTGTAAAAGTGGTCCTATTTGTCCACATCCTCCCCAGGATCTGTTTTTTGACTTTTTAATAATTGCCATTCTAACTGGTGTGACATGGTACCTCATTGTGGTTTTGATTTTATTGGTATATAGGAATGCTTGTGATTTTTGCACATTGATTTTGTATCCTGAGACTTTGCTGAAGTTGCTTATCAGCTTAAGGAGATTTTGGGCTGAGATGATGGGGTTTTCTAAATATACAATCATGTCATCTGCAAACAGACAATTTGACTTCCTCTCTTCCTATTTGAATACCCTCTCTTTTTCTTGCCTCATTGCCCTGGCCAGAACTTCCAACACTATGTTGAATAGGAGTGGTGAAAGAGGGCATCAGCAGTTTTCAAAGGGAATGCTTCCAGTTTTTGCCCATTTGGTATGATATTGGCAGTAGGTTTGTCATAAATAGCTCTTATTTTGAGATATGTTCCATCAATACCCAGTTTATTGAGAGTTTTTAGCATGAAGGGCTGTTTAATTTTGTCAAAGGTCTTTTCTGCATCTATTGATATAATCATGTGGTTTTGTCATTGGTTCTGTTTATGCGATGGATTACGTTTAGTGATTTGCAAATGTTGAACCAGCCTTGCATCCCAGGGATGAAGCTGACTTGATCATGGTGGATAAGCTTTTTGATGTGCTGCTGGATTTGGTTTGCCAGTATTTTATTGAGGATTTTCGCATCGATGTTCATCAGGGATATTCTTTTTTTGTTGTGTCTCTGCCAGGTTTTGGTATCAAGTTGCTGCTGGCTTCATACAATGAGTTAGGGAGGATTCCTTCTTTTTCTATTGTTTGGAATAATTTCAGAGGGAATGGTACCAGCTCCTCTTTGTACCTCTGGTAGAATTCGGCTGCTAATCCATCTGGTCCTGGGCTTTTTTTGGTTGGTAGGCTATTAATCACTGCCTCAATTTCAGAACTTGTTATTGGTCTATTCAGGGATTTGACTTCTTCCTGTTTTAGTCTTGGGAGGGTTTATGTGTCCAGGAATTTATCCAATCTATATTTTCTAGTTTATTTGCATAGAGGTGTTCATGGTATTCTCTGATGGTAGTTTGTATTTCTGTGGGATCACTGGTGATATCCCCTTTATCATTTTTTATTGTATCTATTTGATTCTTCTCTCTCTTCTTCTTTGTCTGGCTAATGGTCTATCTACTTTGTCAATCTTTTAAAAAAAAATCAGCTCCTGGATTCCTTGATTATTGGAAGGGTTTTTTTATGTCTATGTCCTTCACTTCTGCTCTGATTATAGTAATTTCTTCTGCTAGCTTTTGAATTTGATTGCTCTTGCTTCTCTAGTTCTTTTAATTGTGATGTTAGAGTGTCAATTCAAATCTTTTCTGCTTTCTCCTGTGGGCATTTAGTGCTATAAATTTCACTCTAAACACTGCTTTAGCTGTGTCCCAGAGATTCTGGCACATTGTGTCTTCGTTCTCATTGATTTCAAAGAACATATTTACTTCTGCCTTAATTCAGTTATTTACCCAGTAGTCACTCAGGAGCAGGTTGTTCCGTTTCCATGTAGTTGTGCGGTTTTGAGTGAGTTTCTTAATCCTTAGTTCCAATTTGACTTCACTGTGGTCTGAGAGACTTATGATTTCTGTTTTTTGTTTGTTTGTTTTTTGTTTTTTGTTGTTGTTGTTGTTTTTTGCATTTGCTGAGGAGTGTTTTACTTCCAATTGTGTGGCCAATTTTAGTATAAGTGTGATGTGGTGCTGAGAAGAATGTATATTCTGTTGTTTTGCGGTGGAGAGTTCTGTAGATGTCTATCAGGTCCTCTTGGTCCAGTGCTGGGTTCAAGTTCTGAATAACGTTGTTAATTTTCTGTCTTGTAGATCTGTCTAATATTGACAGTGAGGTATTAAAAATCTCCCACTATTATTTTGTTGGAGTCTAAGTCTCTTTGTAGGTTTCTAAGCACTTGCTTTATGAATCTGGGTGCTCCTCTGTTGAGTGCATATATATTTAGGATATTTAGCTGCTCTTGTTACATTGACTCCTTTACCATTATGTAATGCCCTTCTTTGTCTTTTCTCGTCTTTGTTGGTTTAAAGCCTGTTTTATCAGAGACTAGGATTGCAACCGTTGCTTTTTTAATTTTTTTATTATTCTTTGTTTTCCATTTGCCTTCCATCCCTTTATTTTGAACCTATATTTGTCTTTGCACATTGCATAGCAATTCTATAAGCTACTCATCATAATCCCCATTTAATAGATTCAAAAAGTGAGACTTGGAAAGATTAAATACTTATTTTAATATTACACAGCTAGTAAATAGCAGAACAGAACTTAAAGTTGATTTGACTCAAGTCTGCACAGTCTGCTATCTCAATTTTTTTTTAAACCTATGTTACCTCTTTACCTGCTAGCCAATCCACCACTCCATCTACCCTTTCACTACCCTGTAACTTATACCAATAGACTGTTAACCATCCTGTCTGAGAGGATACATCATGTAAGAAAGTTAGCATAAGCTTTGGACTCACGAGTCTATGTCTGAAACATACCTTTGCTCTTTGGTAGTTGGATTAAGTAGGCAAGTTATTTAACTTCTCTTAGCCTTAGTTTCTTCATATAATAAAATGATGATGAAAAAAACCACATCATAGGAAGTGCCTGTAAACTTCCTGGTACATAATGAGCACTCAATTAAGCTATAATATTCAATTTACAATTAAAGCATTAAAATGTTAAAAATACAGCTATTACTATCAATAAAGATATTGGCAATGATTTTTTCTTTTAGTATTTAAGTAGTTGCATTGATTGCCAAAGCCTGAACTAGTGAAGGAGTGTGCTCGCATAGAAGCTATTTCCTCAGCCGGGCGCGGCGGCTCATGCCTATAATCCCAGCACTTTGGGAGGCCTAAGTGGGCAGATCACAAGGTCAGGAGTTTGGGACCAGCATGGACAACATGATGAAACCCTGTCTCTGAGAAAAATACAAAAATTAGCTAGACATGGTGGCGGGTGCCTGTAATCCCAGCTACTCGGGAGGCTGAGGCAGGAGAATTGCTTGAAACCATGAGGCGGAGGTTGCAGTGAGCCAAGATCCCGCCGCTGCACTCCAGCCTGGGTAACAGAGCGAGACTCCATTTCAAAAAATATAAAAATAAAAATAAAGAGAAAAATAATTTACTTCCAGAATGAAGATGAGCAGAATACTGAAGTTAGGATACTTGCAAGAAGTAGAAGATATAGAGTTCAGAATCTAGAGAACTGAGCTATTAAGAAAAAAATCCAGAAGTTTAAACAGAAAAAGAGAGAAAATAATTACAGAGTTCTAAAGAATGAAATTATTATAATCAAATAAAAGACCTGAGCCCAGAAAGCTGAAGTGCTTCTTTGAACATTGGTGTTTGGAAGAACATTTAAACAATCAATAAGTTTATTCCTTTCGAAAATCTCTGTAGGAAATAACCATAAATTTAAAATATTTTTTAAATCCTAAGGTTTCTATCAAATAGTCATAAATAATATTAAAAAGAGGAGCCAACTAAATGATTACTAATAACTATTGAAATATGTTATATACAATTTATAGTAAAGTATGCAGGTATTAAATATTTTAAATGGATATTTTGAGAATGTGTATACGGTTAAATTTTAATATTAAAATGCATTTATTTATAAAAGTATAAACACATACATGAGAAGTGTATATCTCCTTTTCAAATATATATGAAGAAAATAAGACTGTTATCAATGATTTACTTTCACGGTAGAATCGTGAACAATTTTTTCACTCTTTTCTACTGTGTGTGTGTGTATGCATGTGCATGATGTCCAAATTACCATAAGAAACATGCACTTTATAAAGGAAAATAATCTTTATTTAGAAAGGATCTGCCCTAGGCTGGTGTGCACAAGCCTCCTATGCTCCTTTTTTTCCTCTTACAAGATCAGCTAATGTTTACCACTGTGGCACAAAAGGATGCAAATATTTACTTCTTAAACAGTAGGAAGGCCTCTCAAGATGCTCACTGGTTGTAGGTTCTCTTAGAGTTAGCTGATTAAGATTTGCGCACCCATAAAAAATGTAGAAATTAAAGAAGAGGCCTGAAAATGTATTCATAATTAGAAAGAGGACCAGGGTTGTGTTTGGGACATGATTAACTGGTAATCAGTAAAGAACAAACTGATTATTAGCTGTTGAATTCTTGTTGTTCTTAGGGGATTCCACTCAGTGGTCTAATTAAATTGAGCTTGAAGTCTTCACATCTCTATTCAGTGGCAATTTCGTTATAATATTCACTTCTTTGCATGAGATTTGCCTTCCCCCTCTTTAATCATATGTTTTGCATTTGTGTAACACCTTCCTTGATTAGTTTCTCTACAGGATTAGCTCTTGATAACTGCATGGTTTATGAAAGCAAATGTCACATATAAGACAATCTGGATATTAAAGTTTATTGTCAGTCTGGGAATTTTTTAAAAGGAAAATCGAACAAGATATGCACTTGTTTTAATTAAAATCGCTTTCTTTGCTTTCTGAATTGTTTGTTTGGCTCTCAATATTTTATAGAGATAACATTTCAGAAAAAAATTCAATGACTCCAGGGAAATAGAAAAATGTTTTACATTTTCAACTGAAACTCAAGAGAATTTTTGTTAATTACATTATTTCCATCATACAGTTTGCCATCCAGATAGCAGTAAAACTTTTAGGCTCTAGGCTACTGCTTATATCATTAGAAATGTCAGTGCCGGAACATACGGATTACAGGAGCTCCAGATGTGTATCTTTCACATAAGAATTTGGTGACAAAGCATTGGTGTTGGCTATATAATTCCTGATAACCTAACTCAAGTACCAATTTTAAATTAATACTCTCCATCATAAGCTTAGGTAGGCAAAGTGGGCTGATTCTAAACATATGGAACAGCATAATAATTATGACTTATTATAAGAGAGATAAGCAAACCTGTTATAGATTTTAGATACCGCTAAGTTTTCTGTGTTTGATTAGCAATAAACGAAATAATCTGGTACATTTTCCAGTGCCAGATCCTTATTTAAAGCCACAATCTTAAATTTATCCCATGTTTAAACTTCCAAGAAATAATATATCTTCACAATGCTTTCTATAAGCTGGTAAGTAGGCCATTAAGAAAAAAAACTCAGAACCACTTTTAAAATTGTTTGGATTTTCAGCATTTCAGTATATATGTAGAGTTTATCCATCAACAACAGTAACACACACACACACACACATATATATTTAATAACATTCAACACATCATACAATGTATATTTCAAAACAGTTTTGCTTGACTAGGTTACAGTTTTGTTTATGGATATTTTGGTAATAATTTTTACTCGAAATGGACTATTGAAAATAATTGAAAACATAGCTAAATTTTATGCAAAAGACTATATACTCAATATATTTACACAAACGTAAAGATGTAAGTGAATATTGATGATTCAGAAGTGACTTTAATTTGTAGAACATATGCTATTGTAGAAAAATATGAAAACAGTTCCAGATATTTGTTGTAACAGGGTTTGATTTTTGGATTATGTATCCATTATTTAAGTTTATAATAATAACTCGAGACATAGGGCAAAATTATTTAATATATTCTAAATTAAACAGTAAGATATATATTATAGCAAGACTATTATTTGCATCCAGACAGAAACTTTAGCAGTATTTCTCATGTCTATATTTCCAGCACACAGTTCTATGATTACAAAGAATAATCATGGGGCACAGAAGCAAAAATTCTGGAAGATATTTTAATCTATCTTAAAATTTATTCTTGCTACTTAATCAAAGTTGACTCTTAACTGGGGGGCATAACCCTATGTCTCTTGCCTATGTCCAATCTCAAGAAGTATTTATATTTCCTGGACCACTTCTCCAAAACACCCTCTCATCAGCCCTCATTATTGAATCTAGCACCAATTCTTCCAGCAAAGAGTATGAGTTTGAAAAGTAGAAGCTAAGGTTAAAGAACAAGTTGTCTAAAACCGTATAAAGTGATTTATGTTACAAAGAGATTTCTTTACCAGCTGTTTGAACCTGGACAATTTACATAAGTGACTTCTAGTTCCAGCAAAACAATTAAAGCAACGTTAAGTAACTTCTGGGGTGCTTAATCAAAAAATGAATTAAATTACTACATATAAGAGGTGTCAAATAAGTAGCTTTTACTAAATAAGTAGCTATCATTATCATTTTTATGATCTTAGTTATCTTTGTCATCATCATTGCTTTTGGTTTTTCCTAGATCTGGAATGCCTAGTTCCATAGTTGCATGAAATTTTCTATTTTTCAAAAAGAAGCACACAGCTACCCTTTCTTGACATATACACAAATATCTCCAGGATTTGTTTGTTTTTTAGAGACAGGATCTCACTCTGCTGCCTAGGTTGGAGTGCAGTGGTACAATCACATCTCATTGCATCCTCAAACTCTTGGCCTCAAGTAATTCTCCTACCTCAGCCTCCCAGTGCTGGGATTACAGGATTGGGCCACTGCACCCGACGGCCAGGAATTTTTTTGTTTTAAGATTTTTTTTTTCTTTCCCACCTGTATAACAGAAATAGAATTCTAAGAGCGCGCTCACCCGCGCTCGCGCTCTCGCTCTGTCTCTCTCTCTCTCTCTCTCTCTCTCTCTCTCTCTCTCCCTCTCTCTCTCCCTCTCCCTCCTCTCTCTCTCTCTCTCTCCCTGAAACAGGGCCTTGTTTGGTCAAACAGGCTGGAGTGCAGTGGCATGATCACAGCTCATTGTAGCCTCAACAATCCTGGGTGCAGGTGATCCTCCCTCCTGCCTCAGCTTCTCCAATAACTAGGATAACAGGCGGACACCACTATGCCCAGCTAATTTTTTTTTTATTATTTAGTAGTGACAAAGTCTCACTGTGTGGCCTGGACTGATCTCAAACTCCTAGCCTCAAGCAATTCTTTCACCTCAGCCTCTCGAAGTGCTGATATTATAGATGTGAGGCAGTGGACCTGGCCCTATTCTAATAATTTTAATAGTTGTTACACACTTTCTTGAAAAATATTTTAATTATGTCTCCAGTGTTTATGGCACTAGAGAATGTTTTATCTATGTCAGTAAATTGTGAATTTTTATGAGTATGGCTACCTACTATTTTAATTCTTTTAAATTTCTCCTAATTACCTAGCTGTTTACTATGGGAAATATTTGAAACTTGTCAAATATTGCATCGTTAAATATTGAACCTTGTTAAATACTATGATAGCTAATAATTTCTGTGGTTATGTGTGCCCTGATAAATATGTGCACAGAGAATAGTCAATGCAACCACTCGATGTGTCTAGAGTTGATAACTTTTTTTTTTAGATATTCTTTAAAATCTCTTTTTAAAACTTTAAGTTCAGGGTACATGTTCAGGATGTGCAGATTAGTTACATAGGTAAAGGTGTATCATGGGAGTTTGTTGTACAGATTATTTTATCACCCAGGTATTAAATCTAGCACTCCTTAGTTATTTTGCCTGGATTTCTCCCTCCTTCCACCCTTCACCCTCCACCCTCTGGTAGGCTCCAGTGTGTGTTGTTCCCCTCTATGTGTCCATGTGTGCCCATCACTTAGCTCCCACTTATAAGTGAGAACATGCCATATTTGATTTTCTGTTCCTGCGTTAGTTTGCTAAGGATAATGGTTTTCAGCTCCATTCATGTCACTGCAAAGGACATGATCCCATTCTTTTATATGGTTGCATCTTATTCCATGTTGTATATGTACCACATTTTCTTTATCCAGTCTATGATTGATGGTCATTTAGGTTGATTCCATGCATTTACTATTGTGAATAGTGCTGCAATGAACATATGCATGCGTGTTTCTATATAATAGAATGATTTATATTTCTTTGGATATATATCCAGTAATGGGATTGCTGGGTCAAATGGTATTTCTATATGTAGGTCTTTGAGGAATTACCACACTGTCTTCCACAATGGTTGAACTAATTTACACTCCCACCAACAGTGTAAAAGCATTCCTATTTCTCCACATCCTCTCCAGCATCTGTAGTTTCCTGACTTTTTAATAATAGCCATTCTGACTGATGTGAGATATGTTATCTCACTGTGGTTTTGATTTTCATTTATCTAATGGTCAGCGATGTTGAGCTTTTTTTTTACGATTGTTGACTGCATGTATGTCTTCTATTGAGAAATGTCTGCTCATGTCATTTTCCCACTTTTTAAAGGGTTTTTTTTTCTTGTAAATTTCTTTAAGCTCCTTATACATGCTGGATATTAGACCTTTGCCAGATGCATAGGTTGCAAAAATTTCCTCACATTCTGTGAGTTGTCTGTTTACCCTGTTGACAGTGTCTTTTGCTGTTCAGAAGCTCTTTAGTTTAATTAGATCTCATTTGTCAATTTTGGCTTTTGTTGCAATTGCTTTTTGAATCTTCGTCATGAAATCTTCGCCCATGCCTATGTCCTGAATGGTATTGCCTAGGTTGTCTTTCAGGGTTCTTATAGTTTTGGGTTTTACATTTAAGTATTTAATCCATCTTGAGTTAATTTTTGTATGTGGTATAAGGAAGGGGTCCAGTTTCAATTTTCTGCAAATGGCTAGCCAGTTATCCCAGCACCATTTATTGAATAGGGAGTCCTTTCCTCATTGCTTGTTTTTGTCAAGTTTGTCCAAGATCAGATAGTTGTAGGTGTGCAGTTTTATTTCTGGGTTCTCTATTCTGTTGCATTGGTCTATGTGTCTATTCTTGTACCAGTGCCATGGTGTTTTGCTTACTGTAATCCTGTAATATATTTTGACGTCAGGTAGTGTGATACCTCCAGCTTTGTTCTTTTTGCCTAGAATTGCCTTGGCTATTTGGGCTCTTTTATGGTTCCATATGAATTTAAAATAGTTTTTTTTTCTAGTTCTGTAAAGAATATCAATGGTAGTTTGATAGAAATAGCATCAAATCTATAAATTACTTTGGGTAATATGGCCATTTTAATGATACTGATTTTTCCTATCCATGAGCATGGAATGTTTTTCCATTTGTTTAGGTCATTTCTGATTCCATTGAGCAGTGATTTGTAGTTATCCTTTTATTGATCTTTCCCCTCCCTTGACAGCTATATTCCTAGGTATTTTATTCTTTCTGTGACAATTATAAATGGAAGTTCATAAGCTCATTCATGATTTGGCTCTCAGCTTGACTGTTGTTGGTATATAGGAATGCTAGCAATTTTTGCACATTGATTTTGTATCCTGAGACTCTGCTGAAGTTGCTTATCAGCTTAAGAAGCTATTGGGCTGAGATGATGAGGTTTTCTAGATATAGGATTATGTCATCTGCAAACAGGGTTAGTTGGACTTCCTCTTTTCCTATCTGAATGCCCTTTCTTTCTCTTGCCTGATTGCTCTAGCCAGACCTTCTAATACTATGTTGAATAGAAGTGCTGAGAGAGGGCATCCTTGGGGATGACATGTTTGAGAGCAATTATCAAATATATCCAGAGATGAAAGCACAGCTTAGTAAGAACATGAAATGCCCTCTCTAGTTTAATTTTAATCGTGGCATTTCAACTTAACACATAGCTTGTTTCTTCAGGATTTACTACATCTTTGAATTATTGATTACAAAATCTACTTTGAAATATTATACCACTTATCATATAATGCAACATTCTGCTTAGCTTTCCCCATTCTTTGTGCCAATGTTTCATGTATTTTACTAAATGCTGTAATTCCTAAAATGCATTGTTATTTAAAAATTAAATTAAAATTTCATTTCCTTTACTATGCTTTAATTTTTCTAATTTGTATTGACATGTCTATAAGTTTACTTATCCTTTTTCATTGTTTCCAATTTTGGCAAGCAAATGAAATAAACTTTTGAATGTAGATATTTTATTTTTCAGTTTTACACTTTTTACTTGATTTTTTATATGTAGTCTCCATTTCACACCTTGCACATCTCATCTCTTTACTTATGTCTTTCCTCATAAAATATTTAACTTACGTATACTTTTTTTTAGTTCTTAGACGCTAATTCCAAAAATGGAATCATCTGAAGGTATCTTCTTTCTTGACTGTTTTTCATCTTGTTTGAGTTACAGTCATCTGTCATACATATTTTCTTATCATGTCATACATATTTTCTTATCATATTGGGGGCATTATGCATAAAAAGAACGTTGGAGATCTAAGTGAATTTTCATTTTGTTTTGCTTATTATCCAGGGAGTTGTAAAGATGAGTTACTTATAGTTCAGATTTGCCCTTACCTGAAGTTGAGTTAAAACTGGGCCAAAATTTAAATTAGATTGAATTTATCTGTGATTTGTCCAACCTGCAATTCCCATACTTCTGCCATTTGTCTTTGTCTGTTTGAGCTGGGAATAGGTTGGGCACACTGTTTCAGATTATTTTGGTTTACTTTTGAATTCCATTCTGGCAGGGCTCCAGAACCCAAGTACTGCAACAGTATGCAGGGGCATGTAATTTTCTCAGTTTTCTAGTTCTTTCCTCAAACCATTTCCCCCCCCAACAACAAAAGTAGCGTAAGGATAGAACAAGAAGTGTTAGGCTGAGAAATGTATTGTATTTGGAGCTCTTTCTCCTTCTAGTATATTTTATCAGTTCACACTCTTGCATAAACGTCAGCTGATTTTTTCTGTCTCTGAAAATTCTCTCTCTCTTCCAATGGAAGGACTGCCCCTTCATCCATCTGTACTCAGACTATGTGATGGACCCAAGTTTGGAAGTTGCCATAGCTCTCAGCTCACTTTTAAAGTACTAGTTTCTCAATGGAATTTACCTTGTATCCTCTGCTCTTTGATAGTATCACAAAATATATGGTTTTAATTTTATCTAGTATTTTTAGGGGTGAAGGTATTTTGTACCTTTTCATATGTTCATCGACAGCAGAGTCTGAACAAATGTAATTCTAATGTCATTTAAAATGAGAATGTCACCCTTTAATTTTACGTTTTTTGTTTGTTTGTTTGTTTGTTTTTTCCTAAAGGAAAGCAGAGGAGAAAGGGAGCCAGAAGACAAGCGCTTAGGCTTTCTGAACTCTCACATGAGGGCTCAGGACACATGTCATAAAGTTAGCCAATTTACTCTTTGCTTGAGAATTTGAATATCAGAAGAGTCTAGGGTCGAGAGGCACAAATACTTTTGGTATTTGTGGTGACTTCCAGTGTACAATGGCAATGGCATCATGGTGACATCCAGTGTCCAGTAGCTGTGATGTCTCATGTGGACTGATTCTGTGATGTGACTGCAGTAGAAATTCTTGGAGCTTAGCTTCTCTAAATTCCCGCCTATTTCCCTAATCTAGTTTTCCCAACTGCAATCTACACTGCCAATAGTTTTTTTTTTTTTCCATTTCATTTAGAATAAGATTTTTAGTTTTGTTTGTGTATTTATTTTGATTTGAGTGACTAAAAATGTCTTTTCTCCTTAAATAATGCCTATTTTTTAAATTTAAATTCTGTAAAATTAAATAAAATAGCATACTTAAATTGCATAACATGTACTGTCACAGAATGAGTACTCTGCCAAACTTATTTCCCTTTTTCCTCACAGATCTATATGCTATTATTCTATTTCTTTTGTATCTACATCAGAGCTAACCACACTGTTGAATACAGTTGCTTTTTCATATATACTTGTCAAATGAAAGAGTAAATAGGGTACTGAGGATGATATACTGAACTCATCTTGCCTCTAAGTAGGTATTTTCCTACTCTTCCAAATGACAGCATACAGGTAAAATTTAGGACTGTGAAGAGTATAAAATGTTACAGATATGGTAATATATTGATATTATCACTGATCAGTTTGGAAATTATATATTCATATAGATATATTAATTGATTTATGTAATTTGTTTCTACCCACCCATTTAAAATAACTTGAAATAGCTCTTGTGAATCAGAGAACATGTCTGAGTCTCACATATAAATGAGTAAAGCAATGTTCTTTGAGCAGAAATTTTGTGGACATGTTTAATTTTTTTTTAATTTTGTAGAACAAGTGGTTAAAATAAATTATCCGTAATTTAAATTTTTACCAAATCTTATGTAAGGGAATATTTAAGAACACATGAATTAGAGCGCTAGTTGTCATTATGAAGAAAAAATTCACTCTCATATCATTAGACTTTTCATTAATTTTTAGACTATTAACTAAAATTATTACTCACATTTCAGTACAGTCTTATCTAATATAACATCCCATGTCAAACAGAATATTGCCTCACTTGGCTTTCTAAGAATGCTGGTGTCTACAGGTCTTCTGTATTAATTTTTTAAAAAGGAAACAAGCTGCATTCTAAAGATACTGCGTTCAGGAGTTTTAATGATTTATTATGTATAAGTCAAAGAGAAATTAAAGCTATTTTTCAGCCAGTTATGACAGTGAGAGGGGAAAACACTCAGTTTTGCTTTGCAGTTTTTCCAGATCCCAAGTTTGTCTGTGTTTAAGTAGGTATAGTCATAGTTTCTAGACAAATAAAGAAAAATGAGAACACGTACAGCTATTGGTCTTATAAGACAAGTAGTATTCCATCATCACGAAGGTCCCTGGGAAACCATTTAAACAGCTTTATTGGTTTTCCCTTGTTGGTGCATTTAGTACAAACAGCTCCCAAGAAACACCTCTGTACTTAAGCTAGGATTCTTTGACAGCTACTGAAAAAACTACCAACCCATGAGTTGCTTTTACTTTTCTTTTTGATTATGCAGATCAAAACTAACACTGAGGTTGTAATATAAAGTTTAAAAGTACAAGAAGTTTGAAGCAATTTTTAAATTGACTTTATATTTAGAGAAGTTTTAGGTTCACAGCAAAATTAAGTGGTAAGCAGAGTTTCCATATATCCCGTCTCCACACATACATAACCTACCCCATTACCAGTATCTCTGGGCTGAGCAGTACACTTGTTGCAATTGATGTGAACCCACATTGACGTATCTTTATCATATAAAGTCAATACTTTATATTAGGTCTCACTTTTGGTGATGTACATATGGATTTAGACAAATATATAATGACAAGTTTCCGCCATTATAGTGCATACAGAATAGTTTCACTGCCTTAAAAGTTTGTGTTCCACCAATTCATCCCTCACTTCCTGTAAGTCCCTCGCAATCACTCATCTTTTTATATCTCAATAGTTTTTTCTTTCCCAGAATGTCATACAGTTGGACTTACACAGTGTGTAAGTTTTTTGTGGACACTTTCACATAATAATATGCATTTAAGTTTTCTCCATGTCTTTTTGCAGCTTGGCATCTCATTTCTTTTTAGTGCTGAATAAAATTCCATTGTCTGGATGTACCAAAGTTATTTTATCCATTCATCTTCTGAAGCATATCTTGCTTGCTTCTAAGTTTTGACAATTATGAATAAAGATGCTATAAACATCTGTGTGCAGCATTTTGTGTGTATTTAAGTTTTCAATTCATTTGGGAACCAAAGAACATGATTTCTGGATTGTATGGTAAGAGCATGCTTAGTGTTATAAGAAACTGCCAAACGGTTTTCCAAAGTGGTTGTACCATTTTGCATTCCCACCAGCAATAAATGAGAATTTCTATTGCTCTGTCTACATCTTAATGAGCATTTGGTATTGAGTGCTCTGGGTTTTGGCCATTTTAATTGGTATGTAATGGTATCTTATTGTTTTTATTGGCAAGTCCCTAATAATATATGATGGTAGGCATCATTTTACAGCTTGTCATCTGTAGATCTTTGCTGAGGTGTCTGTTTAGATCTTTCACCTATTTTTAAGTTGGATTGTTTCTTTTCTTACTGTTAAGCTTTAAGAGTTCTTTGTATATTTTGGTTAATAGTCCTTCACTGGGTATGACTTTTATAAATATTTTGATCTCAGTCTATGGTTTCTGTGACTTGTCTTCCAATTATTTTAAAATTTGAAGCAAATTTTAGTTTACAATTTGATTATGATAAATTTCAAATATATATGAAAGTCAAAAGCAAGGGAAAGCCCATGTATATCTAACATCAACTTATGTTTCATCTATGCACCCTCATATTCTACCCTCCTCCTTACTCTGTGGGATTACTTTGAAAATGCCAGGCTTAACTTAATGTCAGCTGTAAAAATTTCAGAATTTATCTCTACATAAGAACTTTTTTTTGAAACAATCATTATATAATTACAGCTTACAAAAACTTGACTAAATTCTTCATATCATCAAGTATCTAGTCCGCAGTTCTCTCATAAGTATTTTTTGTTTGCTTAACTTTTTAAAAATATTTGATTATTTCAAGTTGGTACTCAAAGTTCAAACATACAATTTAATAAACATGTCTTAAAAGATTATCTTAATGTATTAGTTCCTGCAGTTTTTCCTGTCCTCTTGCAATGTATTTGTTGAAAACAACTTGGCCATTTGTATTTCTTGTATTTAGATCTAGAAGCTCTATCTGATTCAGGTTTGATTTCTTTTTTAAACAACAGTACTTCGGATATAGTTGGGTGCTGGTTAATAAAGAGTACCAAAATTTCTAATTACCTCTCCTTGTCGTAATGTAATTTTCCATTTTTCATCATAAATTAATGAAATGGTGACACTATCTTATTTTTAAGATAGACTATGTGTGTAGAGAGAAACTTGACTTCATCAATCATGTTGTTACTCTGACACACATTCGTATAGGAAATAATAATAGAATGATTATTTCCTCTTTGATGTGTTTTCAGAATACTTCACTGGGTTTGAAACATCTCTGAAATGTGACCATTAGTAGGTTCTTGTTTGGTTTTGTCTATATGATCATTAAAATGGCAATATATTTAACATGTTTCAACTCACTGCAGTGATTCTTTCAATGAATATTTAATTTTTTTCTGTTTTGGTCATAAGGGATTTCTTCAAGTTGGCTCCTGAGTCTTTTTGACTGAATCCTAGTATTTTTGGAAGCTGCTTTGGTTTCTGCTATGAAAAAATGAGCAGGCTTACCTTACATATTTCATGCCTGGAATCAACCATCTATCCAAGGAACTCTGGTTACTTTTAATGGAATATGGTATTGAGACGCCAGTGTTATTACACCAATGCTCATTGTTACTAGGTTGGTCATTGTGTTTAGGATTTTTCAACAGAAAAAAACTAAGAAATAGGTATTATTGTTATTTTAAGACAAAATAATTAAATTCACATTTAGGAATTTTTCATTATGTTTTTGATTTGATATTTATATTTTTTCTCTTGAGTTGAAATATTTCCCAATGACTCTAAAATTATTACTTACATATTTTATTATTTATTTTGAGACAAAGCCTCCCTCTGTCACTTAGGCTGGAGTGCAGTGGGGCAATCTCAGCTCACAGCAACCTCTGCCTCCCAGGTTCAAGAAATTCTCCTGCCTCAGCCTCCCAATTAGCTGGGATTACAGGTGCCCACCACCATGCCCAGCTAATTTTTGTATTTTTAGTAGAGACAGCGTTTTACCACGTTGGCCAGGTTGGTCTCAAACTCCTGATCTCAAGTCATCTTCCCGCCTTGGCCTCCTGAAGTGCTGGGATTGTAGCCATGACATTACTTACATATTTTAACACAGACACATATTTTTCACACACAAATAAATTAGAATGACTGTACCAATATTATTACAACTTCAACATATATTTATTATCTAACAATTTCCATGGGTCAAGAGCCTAGGCATGGCATGGGTGGTTCGTCTATGCTCAGAGTGTAACAGGCTGTAAAAAATGTTAGCTTGCCTGCATTCTTATCTGGAGAGCCACTCACTTCTAAGCTCTTCAGGTATCTAACAGATTCTTTATCTTTCAGCTGTATGGAAAAGGGCCCCAGCTTTCTTCTGGCTGCTGCCTGAAGGCTTCCTGACATTCCTTTTGAATTCATAAAGAGTAAAAGCAGAGTCTTTAACTTCAGGGAGAGCCCCGTCCTTTTTTTTTTTTTTTTTTTTTTAAGAGATTTCACTTAGGTCAGGTCTTCTCAGGATAATCTTCTATTTGATTGATCTGAGACCTTAATTACATCTGCAAAATCCTTTCACTTTTGCCATATTCTATCCGTAGAAGCAAGCCATAGTTTCCACCCACATTAAAGGAAAATGAATTATTCAGGATAATAGTACTAGGGAGAGAGGATCATTGGGGCCACTTTAGGACTCTATTTGCCCCAGGGATAATAATATCTAAAAAAAATAGAATTCTTGTTATAATTAAATAATGTAGCATAAGTAAGCACTTGTCAGAGCCTGTACCCAAAATACAGTTCAGTTATGAAAAATAATATTAGACGATGTGGGGGTTGGGCAAGGGTGGAAGCAGGGGTCTGATGGTGAAGAAGGAATTAAAGATAAATATAACACCTCCTGGAACTTTGACTCAAATTTCAGAAAGAGAGATACAGAAGATTTAATGTAAAACAGATCAGAATGTATGAGATAATAGATGGCAGCACACAAGACATTTACACCCTTCAAAAATAGTAAGTCAAAATTAATAACAGACCTAAATATAAAATGCAAAATAAAATTCCTAGATGATAAGCAGAGAAAATTTTTGGTATTGTGATGAAGTTTTAGAAATAACACCAAAGGCAAGATCCATGATGAATTAGACTTCGTTAAAATTAAAAAATTATGCTCTGTAAAAGAAACTGTCAAGAGAATGAAAAGATAAGGCATAGACGGGAAGAAAATATTTACAGAAGATATACCTGGTAAAGGACAATTACCCAAAATATACAAAGATCACCTAAATCTCAACAATACGAAAACATCCCTATTAAAATACGGGCCAAACACCTTAACAGACACTTCACCAAAAAAGATAGAGAGATGTAAAATAAGCATAGGAAAAATTGCTCTACACCATATATCATCAGAGAAATCCAAATTAAAACAAACAATGAAATATCACTACGTGCCTATTAGAATGGCCAAAAACCCAGAACCGTGACAACATGGAATGCTCGCAAGGATGTAGGGCAACAGGAGTTCTTATTCGTTGCTGCTGGGAATGCAAAATGGTACAGCTACTTTGGAAAACAGTTTGGCAGTTTGTCACAAACTAAACATACTCGTATATGTAATTCCGAAATCATGCTTATTACTATTTACCCAAATGAGTTAAAAATTTAAATACACTAATTGGTGTGGCAGTGTCCAGGGCTGATGTCCCCCGTGGAGGCAGGGGGAAGCTGCATATGATGTTCTTGTGTTTCAGAAAAGCACAGAGCAAGGTTTTGTAGAGAAGATTGAGAAGTACTGGATAACAGTACAATCAAGTGCTTTTTATAGATGTTTGAACTTGTTCCTGCCCATGCCCTGTGGGGTACTTAGCTCTAATCTGATTAAGCATTTTTATGGATGACTCAAATATAGACATAGCAGGTGGTTTCACGAAGCAGGCGCAGACGATCTTGCAGATGATCCTGCTACCACCAGGGACAGAGCTGGTCTGGAGGCTGCTACAGCTCTACAGACATTTGCCGCTGCAGCTGCCGACCAAGGGCATCCAGGAGCATTATAAGCATGCTGTCAGGCAGAGTTTCCAGCTTCATTCAGATGAAGACAACCCTGATATATATATATCTATCTGAGAACCCAGAGAGTGAGCTATGATAAAGACATTGAAGTTCAGAAACCTCTCTTCTGGAGCTTAGCAGCAGCAGTGGCAATTTTGAAAGATCCCCTGGCATTGTTGGGAGAAAGAGCTGTTGGGAGGAGATGCTGACCTTGCTCAGAAGGCCCTTCTTGCCAGAGTCTTGTTTCCAGCATCACTTACGTTTGCACTTCTAGTTGGTTATGACGTGAAATTTGGGGAAAATGTGGTATTTTTTTTCTTTGTGTTTTTAAAGTTTTTCTTTTCTTTTCTCTGAAAGTGATTCATTGATTCTGGAGGTCTCTTTACCATTTTTTGAGTCCCAGAGCTGGTGTCCCCTCGGGTGGTAGCCTGTACAAGGGAAAAAGCATAGATAGATTTTAGAACCAGAAAGATCTGGAGCTGAATCCCAGCTCAGTGGCTTTTCAAGGGTATTGTCTTTGAACTCACCTTCCTCCTTTGTGAGAATAAAATAAGGTGGAGTTGAAGCACCTCACACAGAATATGGCACAGGGTAGTGCCTGTAAGTGTCCTCTCTGAGGATGCTGTCCTGCCCTGCCCCTTCCTGTGCTCCCACAGTGTTCTGCACATCTCTGCTCCAGCATGCACTGTATTGGGTCTTAGTTATTTGTTTGTAAGCTTGTCCTGTTCCTGCTTATAGCCCCTGAGTCCTCACAGTTGTCACACACTAAGCAGTCTGACAAGGAGCTGCTCTTCCTGACCACTGTATCTCCATGCCCAAGGAGGTAGAAGCCCTGGGCCTTTCCTTCCAGGAGTTAACAGTGTCCTTGAAGTGGTGCGATACATAATGTGTGAACCAAGGAAGGACGCCAGAGCAGCTGTAGTGGACACTGGCCTTTTCAGTCTTCTGTGCACCTGCGATCTGTCTCAACTGGATCTTCCTTGCCTTGCCACCATGGTGGAAGAATGGAAGGGAAAGAGAGTAGGAATGTGGGCTCAGGGAGAACTGGACAGAGCAGCCAGAAGATACAGAGAGAAGCCTCAGTAGGACTTGAGTATTCCCCAGAGGCACTCAGCCACAGGGATGATCTAGCATGTGTTTGTATCCTTGCAATTATGTGACTTAAGGTGACTCAGAGACATCTATATGTGTGTATGTACTCCACTGACTAACAATGAAGTAAATATATGAATTTGTGGGAAATAACGTATATACACACAAAAGTCTGCACAGATAATTATAACATCTTTATTCATAATTGTCAAAACATAGAAGTAACCAAGATAAGATGCGTTTCCATAGATGAATATTTTAAGTTAAAATAACTCAGGTACATCCACACAATGGAATTTTATTCAGCACTAAAAAGAGATACCAAGCCATGAAAAAAACATGGAGAAACCTTAAATATGTATTATCATGTGAAATAATCCAATCATAAAAAGATACATACTATGTAAGTCCAACTACATGACACTCTGGAAAAGATAAAATTGAGACATTACAATGATTGGTGTTGCTAGAACTTAGTGCGGAGGGAGGAATAAATAGGTGAAGTACAGAAGATTTTCACAGTAAAACTATTCTCTATATTACAGTGGTGTATGTGTAATTATATATTTGTCTATACTTACAGAATGTAGAACACCAAAAGTGAATTCTAATGTAAACTAGACTCAGGTGATAATTTCGTGTCAATGCGGGTTCATCAAATGTAATAAGTGTGCCACTCTCGTAGGGGATATTAATAATAAGGAAGGTTATGTGTGTCAGGACAGTGTTATATGGGAAATCTCTGTACTTCTGCTTAATTTTGCTGTGAACCTAAAAGTTCTCTAAAAAAAAGTCTATTTTTAAAATTGATTATGTTAGCATGACATATCTTTAAAGAAAGCTTGAATAACCATATTAATTTCAGACAGAGCAGATTTCAAATTAAGGAAAGTTATTAGGGATAGAGGGGATATTACATAAAGATCAAAGGGATGATTCTCCAAGAATACCTGACAACCCTTAATAGGTGTGAATGTAAAAACAGGTTCAAAATTCATGAGACAACATATAGAACTGCAAGAAGAAATAGATAAATCTGGAGTTTCACACCTCTTTATCAATAATTGACAAATTTAACAGGCAAATAATCAGTAAGGATATAGTGAAGTGAATGACACCATTAATCAATTAGATCTGTTTGACATTTATATAATACCTCATTCCCAAACAGCAGAATACACATTTTTCTCAAACCTATATGCAACATTCTCCAAGACAGATCATATTCTGGGCCATAAAACACCTCTTAACACACTTAAAGTATAAAAATTATACAAAATATGTTCTCAGATCACAGTGGAATCAAATTAAAAATTAATAACTGAAAATATCTGAAAAATCCCAAATATCGGGAGATTAAACAACACACATTTAAAGATCATGTGGGTCAAAGAAGAATTCTAAAGAGAAATTAAAAATATTTTGAAATAAAAGTAAAACACAACTTAAAATTTATGGAATACAGAAAAACAGTGCTTACAGGGAAATTTATAGAATTGAATACATATATTAGGAAACAATGATCTAAAATCAATAACCCAAGCTTCTACTTTAGGAAACTAGAAATAAGAGTCAATTAAATTCAAACTAAGCAGAAAAAAATTAAAAATTGTGGCACGTATCAATGAAATTGAAAACAGAAAATTAATAGAGAAAAATCAAGGAAATAAAGAAGTAAAATTGCTAAACCTGTAGCCAGGCTGTATTAGTTTGCTGGGGATGGTATAACAAAACAGCAAAGCCTGATAGCTTAAACAATAGATATTTATTTTCTCATAGTTGTGGAGGCTAGAGGTCCAGGATCAAAGAGTAGGCAATTTTAGTTCCTCCTGAGGCCTTTCTCCTCGACTTGCACATAGCTGCCTTCTTGCTGTGTGCTCACACAAATGTTCCTTGTTGTGTGCAGAACCCTGTTGTCTCTTTATGTGTCCAAATTTTCCCTTCTTATAGGGACTTGCATTAGATTAAATCAGGGTCTGTCCTGATGGCCTCATTTCAACATAGTCACCTCTTCAGAGCTGTCTTTCCAATTGTAGTCACATGCTGAGGTACTAGGAATTAGAACTTTAACATATGAATTTTGGGGGCACAATTCAGCCCATAACAAAGCCTAACCAAAAAGAAAAAATAGGGAAAACACACATTTGTAATATCAGAGATAAAATAGCAGCCATCACCACTGTTCTAATAAGTATTAAGAGAATTTTAAAGAAATAAAGGAACAACTCCCTACTCTCAAATTTGTTAATATAGACTAAATGTACCAATTTCTTGAAAACACAAACTACCAAAAATAATACGAGGATAAATAATTTGAAAAGGGCTATATGTGTTAGAAGAATTATTGTTGTCAAAGGCTGCGAAGGGTATTGGGGAGGTGGGGGAGAAGTGGGAATGGTTAACAGGTACAAAAATATCATTAGAGTGAATAAGATCTAGCATTTGATAGCACCACTGAGTGATTACAGTCATCAATCATTTATTGTACATTTAAAAATAACTAAAAGTATAATTGGAATGTTTGTAACACAAAGCAATAATAAATGCTTGAGGTGACAGATACTGCATTTACCCTAATGTGCCTATTACACATTATATTCCTGTATAAAAAAAATTTGAATCAGTGATAATAACCTTCCAAAAATGGAAATCACCAGGCTTGGATGGTTTCACTAGTGAATTCCACTGAACATTAAAAAAAGATTATGATTGTGTAATCTTTTTTTCCAGAAAATTAGAAGCAGAAGGAACACTTCCTAACTAATTCTGTGAAGCCAGAATTACCCTAATACCAAAACCAGACAAAAACAACAAAAAAAAGAAAAATTATAGAGGGATCTGTTAGATGAACACAAAGAAAAAATTTTTCAACCAAACATTAGCAAGTGAAACTGAAAATGTATAAAAAGAATTATATAACACTACCAAGTAGTATTTATTTCAGGTTTTTCAAGGATGGTTCAACATTAAAATAATAAAGAGGTAAACCAACAACAATTACATAGAAAGCGCTAAAATAGAAAGGACAATTTTTCAATGGAAAATTGCTAAACAAGCAAGATAGTAAATTCTGATAGATTTGGCTAGTCTTCTTCTGCGACCTTAAGGAAAAAAAAGGGGCTTATTTTAGTCCATTCAGGTTTCTATAGAAATATACCATAAACTTGGTGGCTTACAAACAATAAATATTTATTTCTCACAGTTCTGGAGGCTGGGAAATCCAAAGTTGAGGTGCCACAGAATCTGTGTCTGGTGAAGGCCTGCTTCCCAATCAAAGGCCATTTCTCACTGTAACCTCCCATACAGGAAGAGTGAGGGAGCTTTCTGGGGTCTTTTTTATTAGGACATGTATGTATCCCATTCATAAAGGCTCAAGACTTCATCATCTCTGAAAAGCCATACCTCCTAATACTATCATCTTCAGAGTTAGGATTTCAATATATGAATTTTGGGGAGACATTTCAGGGCAGGTATCCTTAATTAAATTTAAGAATGTAACTATCGCAAGGACAAAAAACCAAACACCACATGTTCTCACTCATAGGTGGGAATTGAACAATGAGAACACATGGACACAGGAAGGGGAACACCAAACACCGGGGACTGTTGTGGGGTGGAGGGTTGGGGGAGTGGGGAGGGATATCAGTAGGAGATATACCTAATACTAAATGACGAGTTAATGGGTGGAGCACACCAACATGGCACATGTATACATATGTAACAAACCTGCACATTGTGCACATGTACCCTAAAACTTAAAGTATAATAATAATAAAATTAAAAAAAAAAGAATGTAAGGCAAATGCATGATAGCCTGTAGGGGCTTCTAGAATCAACTTTAAGAAAAACAGTTTGACTGTAGTTGTCAAAAAGCACCAAGAACAGTAAGTTCACTCATAGTAACACTCATAGTGCAGTGTAAAATGGGGAACTGTATTTTAGGAAATATAAACAGGAGGAAATTCATACAGAAGGTATCACTGAATCAGGAAATTTGGATATGATCTGTATTAATTCCAGTGATATTTGTATCTTCCTGGTACATATTTTGTGGAAGAAATAAGCTTATTTTAAAAAACTGGCCTGGGATAGAAAATTATACAGATCTTGCCCAGTTCCTGTCCTATCCCAAAGACTGTTTACTTCTTTATTGTGAGCAAAGTAGCTTTCCAGTAGAGTCTTATTTTTTTAATGGAGGCCTATTATTAGTAGCCAAATTCTAAATTATTGAAGCACATTTTACATTAAGGAAACTATTCTTTTCATTGGAAAGAATTTCATACTTATATCAAGAAATCTTACTTCAGACTTTCTGGCCAAGATGGATAACTAGAAGCAGCTAGTGTGTGCAGCTCTCATGGAGAGAAGGGAGAGTAGTGACTAAACACTAGCTCTTCAACTGGAACATCCAGATGGACACATTGGGATTCATCAAGGAAACAACTTGATTCACAGAGAATAGAGACGAGTGAGACAGGACAACTGCCCATCTGTGAGTGGCATGGAGCCAGGTTTCCCCACTGTGGAAAAACAGAGTCCCCAGGGACCGACACTTTTGCAACCTGGGGCTCAGGAGGTCCCCCATAAGCCCTCACAACAGAGGCCTGCAGACCTACATGGAGAGCTATGTGGGCAGAGACGTTGCTTAATCACAGACAGAGTCCTTGGAGCCTTGGATCCCCCAGAGCTCCAGCATCAGCAGCTGCAGTTCCGGTAACAGGGGAGGCTAGGCTCCCTTGCATGCCCCCAGAAAAGGGTCCAAATCCACGGAGCTGAGCAGTAAAGGACTACAGGCCTTACCTACTACATCTCACAGGATAAGGCCCACTTGCCTGAAACCCTAGCCAGGTCACCCCAGTTCTGCCTGAATTCTCAGGCCAGAACCACCTCTACTTCCTTGGGACAGCAGAGAGAAAGCAGGCAGGCCACAATTTTGGCTGCTCCATAGCCCTCACTCCTGTTGCCCTCAGGCTCAGGAAGGTTTGTGGTAATTAGGAACTAATGTGGACTCCAAGCACAGTGCAGCTGCCTTACAGAAAAGTGGCCAGACTCTCTTCCACATGAGTCCCCACCTCTGCTACTCTTCATGGCCTCTCAGTGCCTCTCAACCTGGTCTCCCAGCACAACCACCCTGACCCTGGACAAAACACTTCAGTCAGTGGCCACTCTGCATTTCTCTGAGGAGGAAATTGCAGAGAAATCCCGCCGCTTCTCTGCCATTGCAGCTGCAGTGCTACCGCCCCTACTGTCCTTGGGCTGGGGAAGGAAGAAAGGGCCTGGCATCTTCAGCACACCACAGCCATAGTATGATAGAGGAGCCCAGTCTTTATTCCCTATGAGCCACCCCCAACTCTTCACCAAGTAGGGGCCCTGGCTTGCAATTGCAGAAGAGCTTTCCCATCCCTGGGTGAGCATACCTACTGGTAGTGGCTCCGTGATTCCCTGGGGAGGGGCTCCCAGAGGTAACCAACCAACCCTGTGCTACTGCTATGGCCACAGTTCTGCTTCTGCTGCCCTCAAACTGGGGAAGAAACAAAGAGCCTGAGGGCTTTACTCACGCTTCTAGCACTACACAGTCACCATATAAAGAGGAGCCCAGTCTCTCTTCCTTGTGAACCCTTGACCCCCAACTCTTCACCAAGTGGGGCCCCCAGCTTGGGCCAGCAGCACAGTGGCCCCACCCCTAGCTGAACATTCCAGTAGCAGCTGCTCCGCGTTTCTCTGAGGTGGAGCTCTCAGAGCAACTGAAAGCCCCTCTGCCACTGCTGCTGTAGTGGGACTGCCCTTGCTCCTGTTGGACTGGGGAAGAAGCAAAGACCCATAGTGCTTTAACCACACATCTAGCAAACCACAGCCACCCTAAGGAGAAGAGGCCAGTCTATCTCACAGAAGAATCCCCTGCCCTCCTTGCTTATAAAGCAGGGGCCCCTGGCTTGGGCTTACAATGCAATGACGGTATCATGGGCCGATTGCACTGATTGGTAGCAGCTCTGTATTTCTCTGGGGTGAAGCCCCAAGAGACAAGTGAAAGGCCTTCTGCCACAGCCATTGCCAAGGTCTTTCATTAAAGCTGGGAGAGAACATAAAGCCTGAGCCCACCTTAGGGCTGCAGAGTGCAGCCAAGGAGTGTCAAGTAGAGATCTGCACCCAGCACTTGAGTGGGAGAGGAGCCCACACTTTCAGAGCACTGTGACGGAGCATGGTTGCAATTGTGAGGAAATAGGAGTCAGGTGACTGAGCAAGAGCCTTTAACTACTGGCTATTACACTCGGGCACCATCTACTGGATTACATCCGAAACTTCAACACCAAAAATATTTTGCTGATATACCCCCCTGTGAAACCAAGAACAAGAATTGAGTTAAAAATAAAGAGCCACATAAAACCTTGATCTTCTGAAAACATCCAGAAAAGAATTCAACTGACTGCATTCAAATTAATACCACAGTTAAACATCAACCCACAGAGATGAGAAAGAACATCAACCTACGAAGATAAGAAAAAGCCAGGACAAGAACTCTGGCAACTCAAAAATCAGGGTGTCTTTTTTCCTCCAAATGATCACATTAGTTCCCCAGCAAGGGTTCTTAACTCGGCTGAAACGTCTGAAATGGCAGAAATAGATTTCAGACTATGGAGAGGTCTGAATGAGAAAGATCATTGAGATTCAGGAGAAAGTCAAAACCTAATCCGAGGAATCTAAGGATTACAGTAAAATGATTTAGGAGCTGAAAGATAAAATGACCATTATAAGAAAAAACAAACTGATTTGATAGAGCTGAAAAATACACTAGAAAAATTCCATCATGAAATCACAAGTATTAATAACAGAATAAGCCAAACTGAGGAAAGAATCTCAGAGCCGAAGACTGACTCTCCAAACTAACTTAGACAAAAATAAAGAAAAAAAAATAAATTAGCAAAACCTCTGATAAATATTGCATTATGTAAAGAGCCCAAATCTATGACTCATTAGTGTCCCTAAAAGACAGGCGGGTAGAGCAGTCAACTTGGAAAACATATGTTAGTATATTTTCCATGAAAATTTCCCCAACCTTGTTAGAGAGGCCAACTTACAAATTCAGGAAATACAGAGAACACATTTGAGGTAGTACACAAGAAGACCATCTGTAAGACATAATCATCAGATTCTCCAAGGTGAAAATGAAAGAAAAAATAATGTTAAAAAGCAGGTAGGAGGGGCAGTTCATCTGAAAAAGGAACCCCATGAGTGGACTTTTCAGCAGAAACCCTATAAGCCAAAAGGCATTAGAGACCTATATTCAAGATTCTAAAAGAAAATAATTTCCAAGCCAGAATTTTATATTCAGCCAAACTGTTTCATAAGAAAAAGAGAAATAAAAATCCTATTCAGACAAGTAAATTATAAGGGAATTTATTACCACCAGACCTGGCTTACAAGAGGTCCTGAAAGGAGTGCTAAATATGGAAAGGAAACACTGTTACCAGTCACAACAAAAACAAACTTAATTACACAGACCGTTGACACTATAAGGCAACCACACAAACAAGCCTGCGTAAAAGTCAGCCAACAACACAATGACAGGATCAAATCCACATATGTCAATGTTAACCTTGAATGTAAATAGGCTAAATGTCCCAGTTAAAAGGCACAGAGTGTAAAGCTGGATAAAGAAGCCAGATCCAACAGCATGATGTCTTCAAAAGACCTTTCTCTCCTGCAATAACACCCATAGGCTTAAAATGAAGGGATGGAGAAAAATTTACCAAGCAAATGGAAATCAGAAAAAAGCAGGGGTTGCAATCCCAATGTCAGACAGAACAGACTTTATACCAACAAAGATAAAAAAAAAACAACAACAAAGATGTGCATTACATAATGGTAAAAGGGTTCAATTCAACAAGAAGACCTAACTATCCTAAATATATATGCACCCAACACAAGAGCACCCAGATTCATGGAGCAAGTTCTTAGAGATCTATGAAGAGACTTACTTCCACACGATAATAGTGGGAGACTTCAATACTGACAGTATTAGACAGAACATCAAGGCAGAAAGCTAACAAAGATATTCAGGATCTGATGTCCACACTTCACCAAATAGACCAAAGAGACAACTACACAACTCTTGACCCCCAAACATTAGAATACACATTCTTATCTGTATATGGCACACACTCTAAAATTGATCATACAACAGGCCATACAACAATCCTCAGCAAATTCAAAAAAAAAAAATACCAACCACATTTTCACAACACAGTGCAATAAAAAATTAAAAATCAATGCTAAGAAAATTGCTCAAAATGATATAATTACAGGGAAATTAAACAACCTGCTCCTGAAAGACTTTTGGGTAAATGATGAAATTAAGGCAGAAATAAAGACATTCTTTGAAACTAGAGAAGAAAGACAACATATCAGAGTCTCTGGAACACAGCTAAGGCAGTGTTAAGAGGGAAGTTTATAGCACTAAATGCCCACATCAAGAAGTCAGAAAGATCTCAGATTAACAACCTAATATCACATCCAGAGGAACTCAGGAAATAAAGGCAAAACAATTCCAAATCTAGCAGAAGACCAGAAATAACACAAATCCAGCCAGGAGCAGTGGCTCACGCTTGAAATCGTGACTCGGCCTTTGGGGGAGGCCGAGGCGGGCAGATCACTTGAGGTCAGGAGTTCAAGACCAGCCAACTACAACAAAAAGTAACCCAAATCAGGGCTGAACTGAAGGAAATAGAAACACACACACACACGATCAATTAATCCCTGAGTTGGTATAATGAAAGAATTAACGTAAATAGACTAGCTAGACTAATAAAAAGAGAAAGAATATTCAAATAAACATAATCAGAAATGACAACAGAGCATGACCACTGACCCCACAGAAATACAAAAAACCCTCAGAGACTATTATTAAGTTGGTGCAAAAGTAATTGCGATTTTCGCCATTACTTTCAACGGCAAAAACCAGAGTAACTTTTGCACCAACCTACAACTCTATGCACACAAGCTAAGAAATCTTGAAGAAATAAACCAACTCCTGGAAACACAACCTCCCAAGATTGAACCAGACAGAAATTGAATCCCTGAACAGACCGATAACAAGTTCCAGAATTGAATCGGTAATAATAAGCCTATTAATAAGAAAAAGCACAGAACCAGATGGATTCACAGCTACATTCTATTAGATGTATAGAGAAGAGCTGATACCATTCCCAAATGAATAAAAATTACTCTACCGTAAAGACACATACCTACATGTGTTGATCACAGCATTGTTCACAATAGCAAGACATGTAATCAACCTAAATGCCCATCAGCGGTAGACTGGATACAGATATTGTGGTACTCATACATCATGGAATACCACCCAAGCAAAAAAAACAAAAACACAAGACCGTATTCTCTGCAGCAAACATGGGTGGAGCTGGAGGCCATTATTCTAAGCAAACTAATTCAGGAACAGAAAACCAAATACTGCATGTTCTCACTTATAGGTGGGTGGTAAACATTAAGAAAACATGGACACAAAGAAGAGAACAACAGCCACTGGGCCTACTTGAAGGTAGAGGAAGTGGGAGGAGGGAGAGGATGAAGAAAAAAAAATCAACTGCATATTGGGCACCATGCTTATTACCTGGGTGATGAAATAATCTGTACACCAAACTCCCATGACACAGAATTTACCTACATAATAAAACTGTGTGTGCACTTCTGAATGTAAAATAAAAGTTTTAAAAAAGAAATCTTATTTCAGTGATTGGACCATTTGACCATTAGCAATGACATATTACCATTTCAACTGGTTACACTAATGCTATAATAGCAACATTGACTACTCAGGGTAAAAGACAAAATTCAGGCCATCAGTAATGGCCAATAAAACATTAACACTGTACCAGAAAGTTTCTTCTTTTATGTGAAGAGACATAATTTGATTATCCTGAAAAATTGTTTACATAATTGTAATCAAATGTTATCTCGTACAGATACACACATTTTCAAATATAACAATGTATATACTTTTAAAGAGCATAAACTTATTTTTAGGGTTAGATGTCTAGAGTTTTAGTAGGAATCCCTTGAACAACCACAGTCCAATCACTAATTTTAAGTGATAAACAACTGTGATCCAGAAAGGTCAAATAGCTTGTGCAAGAGGACTGAGATGGTGAGTGGCCGGGCCAGTGTCATCACCAAAGTCTTCAGCCTTTGAAGAAATGACATTGATACCTGAACTCCTAATGCTCCTCTTACAATGTCCTGGGAGAAAGGCACACATTTTTTTAAATTCATTATTTTTTTAGTCTGCTACTAATGTGTACAGTGGTCAAACAGGATTTGACTAAACTCATTAATATTTTACAGGTCAGGGTATTAGTAACTGATAGCTAGTGAAGTAACACATTGTTTCAATTTGTCCATTCCAACTGATGATGTTTGCTTTGATCACTTGACCTAGGTGGTATTTTCCAGAGTAAAGTTATTCTTATTCCCTTTGTAATTAATAATTATTCTATCAGGAGATACGTTAAAACTTTAAAAATACACTGTTTCTCATGAAACTTTTAATTTTTTCATATATTAATTTACATCAGAAAAGACACATAGTTTTCTGTCAATGAGTTAACTCCATATCATTGTATCATTACTTAATTTGCTCCTTAAAATGGTCCTGGTTGGGCCAGTGGGAATCCCTTTAACTAGTTTCTATGTCTTTTCTAGGCATCTGCATCATTATTTTAGAGAGCTCCCTTGCTTTCTGGCCCAAGATATCCAGAATCATCTTGTAGTTTTTCTGGCCCAGCCATTAAGCCAGCATTTATCTGAGGATACTAGACGGTTTTTTTATTTTTAGTGGAGAATAATATTTAGAAGTTATAATCTGTGTTGGGTATGCTCATTGCTGTTGAGACATTATTTTTCCCCAGCCTTTTCAATGGACAGGGCTAAGGAATATATGTATGTACAAACACAAGTAATGTAAAATAGTTACATATTTAATTATAGTACAATATATTACAGTGGAAACTTATGTGTATCTTTGTTTCTGTATCCATCTGTATGTTTTGAAAACCATGAATTCATAATGAAGCCTCCGATTCCAGACTATTACCATACTTTCTTATAATATTTTCCTTTTCCATATTTATAATTTCTTCTGTAACAGTATGAAAATTAGTTCACATTGTTTTCTAAACATACCTTTATATTCTAAACATATATATGTTTGTGTGTGTGTGTGTGTGTGTATATATTTATTTCATGAGTCCTTACATGCATTATCATACTCCTATTGCTGCCATTGCTACCAGCTTCCCCCAACATGGTTGCCCTCCTCACACTGCTCAGAAGTCTGTTGCTCTTTCACCACTGCCTTCCTCACCACACTCTGGCAATGATACCATGCACCTGAACTTCACCCCTCCTATCTTTTCCCTTCTCAGCCACTTCGTGTACTCACACCTCGCTCCAGGATACCCTTCTCTAAGGATGCCCTCCTTACCCTGATCAAGATCTGATACTCTTGCTAGATTGCTTCCCGTGCTGATGCTTTCCTCACCTTGCTGAATCTCTGGCATGTCTCACTAGATGGTGCCTCTAGTTAACACCCTGTTTTTCCTCCCATCAGGCTCTGACACCTTGAACTGGACTGCCTTTCTCTATGCATTTTTTTCTTACTGTGCCTGAGCTCTGACAAAACACACTTGGCTACTCCTTCACCTGCACATTCTCTACTCAAGCTCTGACATTCCATTTTGGACTATCCCTCTCCTTACCTTAATTTGGCTCTGACATCTCATATACCTGCAGGGGCTCTGACACCTTATGCTAGGAAGTAAGAAGTCCTTTGCAGTCTCTGAGGGCAATATCCCCTTGAAGCCTGCTCTGAAACCCGAAGAAAAGGATAAACAGCTGATTCTGTGTCATTTCCTTTAGCTTTAGAGATGTCTGAGGATTTGATCCTTGGCCAATTATTCTTACAACACATACTCATAAAATCATTTAAAAAATTCCATACTAAATTCAAGGGAGATAGGAACCTTATCAAAATATCTATTGAACCAGACACTGTCAACATTGTTTATTAAATAAGGAAAAACCAGCTTTGATGACACACAACTGCATTTGTAGATGGAAGCTCGTCATGGACTCCCAGTCATATATATTGGAAGGGCTATGTGATTATCTTGTTATTAAAGGCTAAAGGGACCCTAGAGCTTATTGGCTTGCCTGAGCTGAGGTGCTCTGCACATATTCAACCTAATTCCTTAGCATAAAATGACTGGGACACCAGAAGCTGAGTCTAGGGATCACATATTTCCACTATAGTCTGGCTGTGGATATTATGTAGGCTATTCTTTTCTTTTAAGCTTTAGCTAACTAAACTTGGTGCTTGCTAAAGGCTATTACATTTAATAAATTTAATTATTGGTAGAAATCCAAGCCCGTGGCTGCTAGTAGAGCAGAGTGGAAGTTGTAGCACTCTTGGCCCATTAAAGAATACATAGCTAAGCGAGTCTGGGTTTAGAAGAAAGGCTGTAAAATCACTATACTATATAGTGTGTGCTTCTGTGAGTCATCCAACATAGGCAAAAATGTTGATCCAGTCTTCTGAAGTCTTTGAAAAAGGTTGGTTGTGGGAGTAGAAGAGACAATTCTGGGAATCTATCCAAGGTTAGCTTCCAGGCAGGGGATCAGACCTTTGAGTCAGCATCAAAGAAGAGACAAGTGTTTTCTGTTAGGAGGTAAAGGATATAAATTAGACTGAATGTATATATGTGCTCTTCTTAATTGGTTATGGAAGTACCACTCCTTTTTTGGATTATCTACATCTCCAGATTTTAAACAAAATGAAAGAAAGGAAAAAGCCTAAGAAGTAGATGCCAAACTACCGGGCACGGTGGCTCACACCTGTAATCTCAGCACTTTGGGAGGCTGAGGCACGCAGATCACCTGAGGTCGAGGGTTCAAGACCAGCCTGACCAACATGCAGAAACCCTTTCTCTACTAAAAATACAAAATTAGCCAGGTGTGGTGGCACATGCCTGTAATCCTAGCTACTCGGGAGGCTGAGGCAGGAGAATCACTTGAACCCAGAAGGTGGAAGTTGGAGTGAGCTGAGATCGCGCCACTGTACTCCAGCCTGGGGAACGAGAGCGAAACTCCGTCTCAAAAACAAATAAATAAATAAAAGAAGTAGATGCCAGATGATATAAGAATGAATACTTAAGTAAACACAAATATTTTTCACTTTATGTTCATAATTTACAAGTGCAAACTAGCTATCTGCACAGAAACACTAAGCAAACTAGTTTTTAATTATAATCTTTTAATTTTGTGATAATTATTGATTTGTATGCAGGTGAAAGAAATAATTCTGAAAGATTCTGTGAATCATTTACTCGAGTTCCTCCAATGATAACATCTTACAAAACTATGGTACCTTATTACTACCAGGATATTGTCATTGTTGCTGTCAAGATACAGAACATTTCTATCACAACAAGCATCCTCACATTAACGTTTTATAATCACACCTACTTTTCTCCTACCTCACCTCCTCTTTATCCTTGGCAACTGCTAATTTGTTCTCCATCGTCATAATTTTTTAAATTTCAAGAATAATATAAATAAATTCATATACTATATAACCTTTTGGGATTATTTCTGCATTCCTCAAAATTATCTGGAGACTCATCCAGTTTTTTGTGTGTAACAGTATTTTTTTAATGCTGAATAGTATTCCATGGTATGGCTATACCACACTTTGTATAACCATTCACCTACTGAAAACATCTGATGATTGTTTCTAGTGTTTGACTATTATAAGTAAATCTACTATAAACATTAGTGTCAGGTTTTCTATACATTAGTGTAGAAGTTTTTATTTTCCTGGATAAATGCCCAGGAGTTCAATTACTGAGTCAGGAGGTAGGTGGATGTTTAGTTTTTTAAGTAATTGTCAAACTGTTTTGCAGAGAATCGGGACCATTTCTTTCATATCCTCACTAGCAACAAAGTGAAATAAATTCTGCACATTCCGAATAGCATTTGGTGTTGTTAATATATTTCATTTTAGCAATTCTGATATGTGTGTAGTAATACCTTACAGTGATTTTATTTCCATTTTTGTAATGGATAATTATTTTGAAAATGTGTTCTTAGCTGAAATGTGTCTTCGTATAATTTGCCTATTCTCTAATTGGATTTTTTTCACTGTTGAATTCTGAAAGGTTTTTTGGTTGCTAATATTTTCTCACTACTCAATATGTATGCTATTTTTTTTTCTTGTATTATTGCACTAGCTATGACTTCAAGTGCAATTCTGAATAAAGGGTGATGAGGAGACATCCTTGCCTTACTCTGGAATGTAGGGAGAAAACATGCAATTTCTTACTGTTAAGCATGAAGACAGTTTTAGGCTTTTTGCAGATGTTCTTTGTCAAGTTTAGGAAGTTTCTCGCTATTTACAGTTTGAGAACTTTTTTTCTTTACCTTTAATGAGTTTTTAAAGTGTCAAATACTCTTAATGTACTATAGCCTGTTGGTGTGCCAAATACATTATTTTCAAATGTTGAAACATCATTGCATAGCTACTGTAAATCTCTTTTGGTCATGGTGTAGAATTATTTTTATACATTGTTGGAACTGATTTCGTAATATTTAGTTGAGAATTTTTGCATCTGTGTTTATGATAGCTATTGTCTGTAGTTTCCGTACCTTGTAAAATCTTCAACTGTTTTTGTATTAGATTAATTCTATATTTACAGAATTATTTAAGAAGTGTTCCCTCTTACACTTTTCGGAAGAGACTGTTATATATAAAAACATATATTTATATATATATATATATCCATGAAACTTGCACCTCAGTCACAATAATGAACACATACATCACTGAAAAACTTTCTTCATGCTCCTTTGTAATTACTGCATCCTACCTTTTCCCCTCTTCCAGCACTTTCTGTCACTATTCATTTTGAACTTTCTAGAACTTTAAATGGGTTGATAAAATATGCTTTTCATTCTAACATCTTTGACTCAGCACAGATTTTGAAATTCATTTTTATTATAGCATGTAATAATAGTTAATTCCTTTTTGTTACTGAGTAGTATTTCACACAAGAATATATATTAGTTTGTTCACTAACTTGTTCATGGACATTTGGATTATTTCTACGTCTTAGCTATTAAAAATTAAGCTGGTAGAAACATGCATGTATCAGCCTTTGTAACACTTTCTTTTCTCTCATGTAAATATTTAGTTGCAGAATGATTGCATCATATTCAAAGTGTATACTTAACTTTCAAGAAATTGCCACACCGTTTTCCAAAGTAGTTTGCCATTTTAAGCATCCATCAGCATTGTTGAAAGTTTTAGTTGCTCCATATGGTTACTAACACTTGGTATAATCAGTCAGTAATTTTCATTTCAGCCATTTTACTAGCTGTGTAATGGCATCTATATATGGTTTTAATCTGCATTTCCCTAATGACTAAAATGTTGAGCATCATTTTTCTGTTTATTTGCCATTCTTACATCTTTTTTGGTCAATGGTTGTTAAGATATTTGTCTCATTTTTAAAACACCGTTATCAGATATATGATTTGCAACTATATTGTCCTAGTCTGTAGGTTGTATTTTTCTTTTTTAAACTGTGCCTTTGAAAGTGCAGAAGATTTTGGTTTTGATAAAATCCAGTTTAACAATTTATTCTTTCATAAATCATATTTTTGAAATCATATCTAAGAAGATTTTGTGTAACCAAAGGTCATAAAGCCTTTCTTCTAGCAGTCCTCTATAAGTATTGTAGTTTTGCATTTTAAAATTTTTCATGATCAAACTTAAGGGAATTTTTATATGTAGTCAAAAAAACTTTTTTTTGTTTTGCCTATAGACATCTAATTATTTTAACATCATTTGTTAAAAAAAAAAAGACTGTCTTTCTTCCACTGAATTGTGTTTGTATCTTTGTCATAAATCAATTCTCCACAAATGTTTCTCTCTTACTGGATTCTCTACTAAGCTCTATTGATTTATTTTTCCTACCTTTGAGTCAAATACCACCTGTCTTCATTACTACAGCTTTATAATAAGTCTTGAAGTCAGATAATAATCTTGATTTTATTCTATAGATAGAAATTAGAGCCAGACACTATGGCTCACCTTGTAATCCTAGCACTTTGGGAGGCCGGGGCAGGCGGATCACTTGAGCTCCGGAGTTTGAGACAAGCCTGACCAACATTGTGAAACTCTGTGTCTACTAAAAATACAAAAGTTATTTGGACATGGTGGTGCATGCCTGTAACCTCAGCTACTCTGGTGGCTGAGGCATGAAAATCGCTTGAACCGAGGAAGTGGAGGTTGCCATGAGCCGAGATCACGCCACTGCACTCCAGCCTGGGTGACAGAACGAGGTGCTGTCACCACCAACAACAATAACAATAAGGACGACAGAAATTAGGAAGTACTTCAACTTTGTTCCTCTTGTAAAATATTATTTTTTGTTATTTTGGGACCTTTGTATTACCATGTGAATTTTAAAATTGGCTAATCAATTTCTGAAAACAACCTTTCAGTTTTCATTTAATATACACATTAATTTAGGAAAAACTGATATCTTAAATTCACAATTCATAAACATTTCTCTGTTTATGTCTCCTTTGCATTTCTCCTTTTCTTAGGCCTTCATTAATTTCTCTCATAATTGTTTTACAGTTTTTGATTTGCTGGTCTTGCACATCTTTTTGCATTTTATATTTTAATGTTATTGTAAGGGTGTTTTTAAATTTCAATTTCAGATTGGCCATTAGTGGAATATAGAAATGCAGCTTCTTTTACTATTTTGATTTTGTATCCTGCAATATTGCTAAATTTGTTTAGTATTTCTAGGATTCTTTTATATTCTATTTGGTTTTCTATGTAGATTATCACATCATCTGCAAACTAAGATAGTATTACTTTTTATTTTCCAATTTGAATTCTATTTACATATTTTTCTTGCCTGTGTGCACTGCATATACCTCTTCTAGTTGAATGTATGTGATAATAGCAGACATCCTTGTCTTGTTCCTCATCTTAGGGATAAAGTGTGTGACTTAATACCTTTAAATATGATGTTAGCTGTAGGATTTTCATGGAAGTTCTTCATTAGGTTGAGGATTTCCCCTTTTGGCTATATCTTTCATCAGAAATGGATGTTGGATTTTTGTAAAAGTTTTTTCCTGAGTATATTGAGATGGTAATACTTTTTTGTTGTTAATATGTTTAATTGCATTGATATTTTAATTTTAAACTAGGTTTGCATTCCAGTGATAAATTCTGATCCTTCTAATGTATCATTAGATTCAATTTGCTAAAGTTTTGATTAAAATTTTTGCATTTATTAATGAAGGCTATTAGTTTGTATGTTTCATTATCTTGTAACATCTTTTTGACTATCAGTGTATTGCTGCCTTCATAGAATGAGTTGGAGAATGTTCTCTGCTTTGCAATTTTCTGGAAGAGATTGTGTAAAATTGACATGAATACTTCCTTAAATGTTTGGTAGAACTCACCCATATAGTTATCTGGCCTGGGATTCTCTTTTTCAGTAGGTTTTTAACTACATATTCAATTTCTTTAAATGATATGGAATTACTCATGATATCTATTTCTTCTTAAGTGAAACTTCATAGTTTTTATTTTTCAAGGAACATTTTCATTTCATTGAAACTATGAAATTTAAAGCCATAAAGCCATTTATAAAATTTCTTTATTATCCTGTGAATATTTATAGAACCTGTACTGATACCACATCACCTACCTCATTCCTGATATTAGTAATTTGTTTCTTCTTTGTTTCCTGGTGAGTTTGGCAAAAGGCTTGTTGATTTGGGGTTTAATCCAAGAAACTTTTATTGATTTTTCCATGCTGTTTTTCTGTTTTATATTTTATGATTTTCATGTTTATTTTTATAATTTTATTCATTCTCCTTGCTTTGGGTTTATTTTGCTGATCTTTTCCCAGTTTTTTAAGTTGAAGTTGTTTATTTGAGGATTTTATTCTTTTTTTATATTCGCATTTAGTACTATACATTCCCACCATGTACTACTTAGTGGCAAATGACATGTTTTGATATGCTGTGTTTTTACTGTTATTCAGTTCAAAATATTTTAATTTGTATTCTGATTTTTTCTGTTACCCATTAGTTATTTAAAATTATTTGTGTGGTTCCAAACATTTGACAATATTCCAAATGTCTTTCTGTAATCAATCTCCAATTTAATTTCATTGTGGTTAGAGAACATTCTTTGTAACAGTTGAATTCTTTTAAACTTATTAAAACATTTTATTGCTCAGAAGATGGTCTATTGTACTAAATGTTCCAGGTGCACTTAAAAAGAATGTACATTCTGCTATCGATGGGAGGAGTGGTCAAAAAAATTTTAATTACATCAAGGTGATTTAATGTGTTTTTTTTTTTATAATTTTACTGATTGTCTACATTTTCTGTTATTTATTGAAAGAGAAATATTGGGATCTCTGGCTATAATGGTGGACTTTTCTATTTCTCCTTACATTTCTATCAATTTTTGCTTTATGTATTTTGAAGTTAATTTATTAAGATAATAAACATTTGGTAACATTATGTACTTTTGCTAAATTGATGAATCTACTTTTACTGACACGGTTATAGCCATTGAAATTTTGTTTTTAGTGGTATTAACATGGTCTATTTTGTCTATTATTTTAATCCTATTTTTGTCTTTATAAAGTTTGTTACTTATGACCCGCATATAGTTGTGACGTGTGATTTTATTCAATCTGAAAATCTCCTTTTAATGGAAGTATTTATACCACAGCAGTTTAGTGCGATTATTGATATAGGTAAATTGCACTTGCCATTTTGCTGTCTGTTTTTTGTCTCATCTTTTGTTGTTTATTATTTTACACATTTATTAAAGTTTTTCTCCTTTTTTGATTATTTTATGATTAAATTTTATTCCCTTTGTTGTCCTATTAACATTTTTTTATTTTGTTATTTTAGTGATTAGGGTTTAGCGTGAACATCTTTAAATTATCACAGTCTGCCCTTAAGTGATATTATATCACTTCACATGTAGCATAAAAGCCTTTTAAAATTTAGTATTAGAATAACCATGTTTCTTAGATAATTTGGGCTACTTAACAAAGTACCATGGGCCACATAGCTTATAAACAATGTAAATTTATTTTTCACAGTTCTGGAGACTGGGACATCCACGATCAAGTCACTGGTAGATTTAGTGTCTGGTGAGAGTCTATTTCCTGATCCAAAGGTGGTGTCTTTTAGTTGTGTCCTCACATAGTCAAAGGGGTAAGGCTTCTTTCTGGGGCCTCTTTTGTTCGAACACTAATTCTATTCATGAGGAATCTACCTTCATGACCTAACTACCTCCCAAAAGACCCCTACTTCTCATACCATCACTTTGGCGAAAAGGTTTCAACATATGAATTTTGGGTGAACACAAACTACATAAATATAAAGTATTTTTGTGTGTGTGGAGCATTGGTGAAGAGTGTTAAAGCAATGCAAAATGATGAGTATGACTTTGCAACTGCCTTTAAATATGTTATACTGTTGCTTCTGCTTAGAACCATGAGCAGAACCACAAAGTTATATTAACTTGGTTCTTCCGGTACAAGAATTCTAGAAATAGATTGTCTAAACAATGTCTTCAAAATGTCACAAACCTTATAGAAAATACTACATTTGATTAGAGAATTTTATTGATAAGATCTCAGAGTTTTATGGAAAGGCATTATCTTACAAGGTTTTATGATCCATTATTATATGCTATTTTACATGCAAAATGTAAATATTTGTCTCTTGAAAAAAATTTCCAGGTCCAAACTTGTTTTGAACACACTGATTGTTTCCAATCTTACAGAGTCTCAGTAGAGATTCTCAGTACAGATTTAAACATTTTCAGTAAACAGATCCTGTGAACAAACCTTTTAATTAACTGTTTTCAGAACTTATATGACTATATTGCTATATATCTTCTGTTTTTCTTACCTGTATTTCTTATCCATCCTTCTCTACTCTGCTCTCTGCCTTGAAAGACTGACCTGTATGTGTTGCAGCAACAGATTTCTTAGCCCTCTAACTTTACTGTGGGTTTGACTTACACCAATAAGAAGAAAGAAAGACATTCAGGTACTTGTTCCTTCAGTTTCAATTCTACTTGGTTATCCCTATTTTTGTCCCTGATAGAAAATCACATCTCCTAAACACAGCCTTTCACATATGACTCTTTCTTTTCATGTTCAGGTTAGGTTCTCCTCCTTTTCTCCCTTTATCTTAGTAACAGGTAATAACCCTGGGTTACTGTACTTTCCCTTTTGGCTTATTTATAATCTGTCCGTACCTTGGAAATAGCAAAGCTGTTCCTCAAATGTCCTTCCTGCTGAGGTTTTCTTTTTTTTCTTTTTTTTTTTTTCCAGAGAAACTATTAAAATCTATTAGAACCCTAGTGTTCCAGAGACTGTAATTTAGGACACTTGAGTGCTATAAAGGGCCATGGAATATTATTCAGTGGGCATGGTATTTAGTTTCAGTTGTAATAAAAAAAAATGGTTTTGAAAAGTTTATTGAATCATTTGACCTCTTTAGGATTTATTTTCAACATCCGTACAATAAATTCATCATATTAGGTGATTCCTAGAGTTCTTTTAAACTTGAATATACTTGAGATACTATTTTCTTAGCCATCATACAAGGTACTCTATCAGAGCATTAATAAATTTACAATAGGTTGAGGTAGAGCAAAATGGTGGAACAGACTCCACCAATCATTTCTCCCACAAGGATACCAATTCAACAACTATTTACACTACAAAAGCACCTTAATAAGAACCAAAAATCAGGTGAGCACCACAGTACCTGGTTTTAACTTCATATCTCTGGAAGAGGCACTGAAGAGGAAAAAAAAAGCCATAAATCACTGACAGCACCCTTCCCTGGCAGTGGGTGGCATGCTGCAGAGTGAGTTCTGTGCACTAGGCAGAGGACTGGCTCAGTGCTGCCCTATTATAGCAAAAAAACAAAACCGGACCAAAGTCAGGTGACTCCCACCCATTGAGGGAACATTTAAGCCAGCCATAGTCAGAGGATAATCCCAATCTCAACATTCAAATTTGAGATCTCACAAGGGCTAAAGTGCTTTGCAGCCCTAAATAATTTTGAAAGGAAATCTAGGCCACAAGGACTGTAAAACCTGGGTGAATCCTAGTGCAGATGTAGGCCCAGAGCCAGAAGACGGGGGAACATGAGACCTATTGAGACACCAGCAAGGGCAGCTACAGGAGTGCTGGCATCACCCTTCCCCTAACCCCAGGCTGCACAGCTCATGACTCCAAAAAAGACGCCTCTCTTCTGATTGAGGAGAGGAGAAAAAAGACTGTGGAGGACTTTGTTGTGCCTGTTGGACACCAGCTCTGTCACAGCAGAATAGGTCAATGGTCAGAGATGTAAGGCCCCTTTTCTAGGCTCTAGCTTCTGGATGACATTTCTAGACACTCACTAGGACAGAAAGGAAACTGCTGCCTTGAAGGGTGGGACCCAGTCCTGGCAGGATTCATTACCTGCTAAACTGAAGAGACTTTGGGCCCTGAATAACCAGCGCTGATACCCAGGTACTACATCAAGGGCCTTGGGTAAGACTCTGAGATTTGCTGGCTTCAGGTGAGACTCAGTGCATTACCAGCTGTGGTGGCTAGAGGGTGAGACTCCTGCTTTGAAAAAGCAGAGGGAAAAGTAAAGGGGACTTTGCCTTGGACCTTAGGTACCAGCTTGGTCGCAGAAGTGGAGAGCACCAAGCAGGCTCTGGGGGCCTCAGTTTTGGGACTTGACTCTCAAATGGCATTTCTGGACTTGCCCTGGCTCAGAGGGGAGCCCGCTGCCCTGAAGGGTGAATCCTAGCCAGGCAGCATTCACCACAAACTTACTGAAGAGCCCTTGGGGCTTAGGGGTACACTGGCTATAGTCTGGCCATACTTTCCATGGGCCTGTGATGGTAGTGGCCATTGGATGAGGCTCCTCTGGCTTTGGAAAGGTAAAGGAAGAGTGAGAAGGACTGTGTCTTGTGGTTCAAATGCCAGCTCAGCTGCAGTACAATAGAACACCAGATAGACTTCTAAGGATTTTTACTCTAGTCCCGGGCTCCCAGACGGCACCTTTGGACCCATTTGGGGTCTGGGGCAAATCACCACCCTGAAAGAAAAAACACAAGTCTGACTGACTTTGCCACCTGGTGTTTTTAGAGGGCCAGGCCTTGAGAGAACACAGGTGGTAGCTAGGGATTGGTTACAGCAGGCCTTGGACGAGACCCTGTGCAGTACTGACTTTAGGTCTGATCTAGCACAGTCATAACGATGATAGCCATGGGGTGCCTGAGCCACTCCACCCCTAGTTTCAGGTGGCTCAGAATAGAGACAGAGACTCCATTTGTTTGGGAGAAAGTAAGAGAAGAGAACAAGTGTTTTCCTGGTAATCCAGAGAATTCTTCTGGACCTTGTCCAAGATAATCAAGGTGGTACTTCTGTAAGTCTGCAAAAAGCACAGTATTACTAAGTTTGGGGTACTCCTAAAGTAGATTCAGCTTAGATCACAACACCCAAAGTCTTTTGAATATTTGGAAAACCTTCCCAAGAAGAAAGGGTACAAACAGCCCAGAGTGAGAAAACTACAATAAATACCTAATATTTAATGCCCAGACACAGGCAAACATCTTCATGTATCAAGAGGATCCAGGAAAACATGACCTCACCAAATAAACTAAATAAGGCACAAGGGACCAGTGCTAGAGAAACAGAGGTATATGATTTTTTGGATAAAGTATTCAAAATAGTTGTTTTCAGGAAACTCAATAAAATTCAAGATAACACGGTGAATGAATTCAGAATTTTATTAGATATATTTAATAAAGAGATTGAAGTAATTAAGAATCAAGAATAAATTCTGGAGCCAAAAAATGTGATTGGCATAATGAAGAATGCATTAGAATCCTTTAACAGCAGAACTGATCAAGCAGAAGAAAGAATTAGTGAGCTTGAAGACAGGCTATTTGAAAAGATACACTCAGAAGAGACAATTGAAAAATGAGTAAAAAGACTACCGCCTAAGTACTCTCAAAACCTAGCACTCTAAAATCAACCTACAGGATCTAGAAAATAGCCTCAAAGAGGCACATATAAAAGTTATTGGCCTTAAAGAGGAGGTAGAGGAAGAGATAGCAGCAGAAAGTTTATTCAAAGGGATAATAACAGAACTTCCCAAACCTAGAGAAATACATAAATATCCAAGTACAAGAAGGTTATAGAACACAGGGCAGATTTAACCCAAAGAAGACTCTACCTCAAGGCATTTAATAATCAAACTTCCAAAGGTCAAGGATAAAGAAAATATTCTAAAAACAGCAAGAAAAAAGAAACAAGTATGATATAATAGAACTCCCATAGGTCTGGCAGCAGACTTTTCAGTGGAAAACTTACAGACCAGGAGAGAGTGGCATGACACATTTAAAGTGCTGAAGGAAAAAAAAAACTTTTACCCTAGAATAGTATTAGATTGTTGCAATAGTTAGTGTGATTTAAGGTTTGTGTAAAATTTATTGCATTAAAAGGAATGGCAAAAACTGCAATAACTTTTGCACCAACATAATAGATCTGATGAAATTATCCTTCAAACATGAAGGAGAAATAGACTTTTCCAGACAAACAAAAGCCGAGGGATTTTATCAAAACCAGACATTTTCTGCAAAAATTTCCAGAGAGAGTTCTTCAATCAGAAAGAAGAGAATGTTAATGAGCAATAAGTAATTACCTGAAGCTACAAAACTCACTGGTAATAGTAAGTACACAGAAAAACATGGAATATTATAACACTGGGATTAAGGTGTATAAACTACTCTTATCCTAAGACTAAATGATACATCATTCAAAAATAAAAACTTCACCAATTTTTGAAGACATCAACAATATAATAAGATATAAAAAAATAAAAAAGTGAGAGGGTGAAAGTAATATGGGGAGTTTTTATTACTTTAATTTTTGCTTGTTTCTTTATGAAAAAGAGTTAAGTTATCAGCTTAAAATTATGGGTCATATGATAATATTTGCTAACCTCATGGTAACCTCAAACCAAAACCTACCAGAGATACACAAAAAATTAAAAGGAAGAAACTAAATCATATCACCAGAGAAAATCACCTTCACAAAATAAAGAGGACAAGAAGGAAAAGAAGAGGGAACAGAGGACCACAAAACAACCAAAAAAACAACAAAATGGAAGGAGCCAAGTCCTCAGTTATCAATAACAACATTGAATGTATGGATTAATCTCTCTAATCAGAAGACATAGAATGTTTGAATGGACAAGAAAATAAGAACCAATGATCTGTTGCCTCCAAGAGACACACTTTACCTATGAAGGCACACAGAGACTGAAAATCAAGGGATGAAAAAATGTATATTTCATGCCAATGGAAACCAAAAAGGAATGCAAGTAACTATACTTAAATTAGACAAAATAGATTTCAAGGCAAAAACTATAAGAGGAGACAAAGTAGGTTACTATATAATGACAAAGGGGTAAATTTAGCAAGATGATATGATTTTTTTAAACATAGGTGCACCTAACACTGGAGCAGCCAGATATATAAAGTAAATATTATTAGAGCTAAAGAGAGAGATAGGCCTCAATAGGTAGAGAATTCAACACCCCACTTTTAGCATTGGACAGATCTTCCAGACACAAAATCAACAAAGGAACATTGGATTTAACCTGCACTATAGACCAAATGGATGTAATAGATATTTACAGAACATTTCATCCAAGAGCTACAGAATACACATTTTTTTCTTCTCAGCACATAGATTATTCTCAAGGATATACCATATGTTAGGCCACAAAAGAAGTCTAAAACATTCAAAAGCAAATTGAAATAATATCAAGCATCTTCTCTGATGACAATGTAATAAAACTAGAAATTAATAACAAAAGGAATTCTGGACATTATGCAAATACATGGAAATTTAACAGTATGACCAAACTGACCAAAGTAGGTCAATAAAGAAATTAAAAAGAAAATTTAAAAAAAGCTTCTTGAAACAAATGACAGTGCAAACACAACATACTGAAACCTATGGGATACAGCAAAAGCGGTACTAAGAAGAAAGTGTATTGTCATTAGTTCCTACATAAAAAAATAAAAAAAAAACTTCAAATAAGCAACCTAATGTTGCATCTTAAAGAGCTAGAAAAGCAAGAGCAAATCAAACCAAAATTAGTAGAATAAAATAAATAACAAAGATTAGAGCAGAAATAAATGAAATTACAATGAAGAAAATAATACAAAAATGGATGAAAGAAAAAGTTGTTTTTTTGAGAAGTTAAACCAAAGTGACAAAACTTTAGCCAGAATAACTAAGAAAAAATGAGAGAAGGTCCAAATAAATAAAATCACAGATGATAAAGGAGACCTTACAACTGATAAGTGTAGAAATTGAAAGGATCATTAGTGGCTACTATGAGCAACTACGTGACAATAGGTTAGAACATGTAGAAAAGTGGATAAATTACTAGACACGTACAATCTACCAACATTGAACCATGAACAAATTAAAAAACGGAATAGACCACTAAGTAATGAAATCAAAGCTGTAGTAAAAATTTCAGTTGGGGCTGGGCACGGTGGCTCATGCCTGTAATCCCAGCACTTTGGGAGGCCGAGGCAGTGGGTCACGAGGTCAGGAGATCAAGACCATCCTGGCTAACATGGTGAAACCCTGTCTCTACTAAAAATACAAAAAATTAGCCCGACGTGGTGGGTGGCTGTAGTCCCAGCTACTTGGGAGGCTGAGTCAGGAGAATGATGTGAACCCAAGAGGCGGAGCTGGCAGTGAGCCAAGATTGTGCCACTGAACTCCAGCCAGGGCAACAGAGCAAGACTCCATCTGAAAAAAAAAAAAAAAAATCTTGGCCGGGCATGGTGGCTCACACCTGTAATCCCAGCACTTTGGAACTCCAAGGCAGGTGGATCATGAGGTCAGAAGATCAAGACCATACTGACCAACATGGTGAAACCCCATCTCTACTAAAAATACAAAAATTAGCTGTGTGTGGTGGTGCATGCCTGTAATCCCAGCTACTCAGGATGCTGAGGCAGGAGAATCACTTGAACCAGGGAGTCAGAGGTTGCAGTGAGCCAAGATCATGCCACTGCACTCCAGCCTGGGCAACAGAGCAAGACTCCGTCTCAAAAAAACAAAACAAAACAAAACAAAACAAAATCCTCTTAGTCATGAAAAGCCAAGCACTTGATGGCTTCACAGCTGAAGTCTGTGAAACATTTTAGGAAGAAGTAATACCAATTTTACTTAAACTATTCCAAAAAGCAGAGGAGTATGGAGTACTTTCATACTCCTTCTACAAGGCCAGTAATACCCTGATATCAAAACCAGATGAAGACACATTCAAAAAAGGAAATTATAGGCCAGTATCTCTGATGAATATTGATGCAAAAATCCTCAACAAATACTAGCAAACTGAATATGGCAATACATTAAAAAGATCATTCATCATGACCAAGTGTGATTTATTCATGGAATGCAAGGATGGTTCAACATATGCACATCAAACAATGTGATATATCATATGAGCAGAATGAAGGACAAAGCCCATTTGATCATTTCAATTGATTCTGAAAAGTATTTGATAAAAATCAATATTCCCCTATAATAAGAAGCCGACAACAACATTATAGAAGGAACATATCTCCTCAACATAATAAAAGTCATATATGACAGACCACAGCTAGGATCATACTAAATGGCAAAAAACTGAAAATCTTTCCACTAAGTTCTGGAACATGACAAGGGTTCCCACATTCACTACTGTTATTCAACATAGCACTGGAAGCCCTAGCTAGAGCAGTCAGGCAAGAGAAAGAAATAAAATGTATCCAAATTGGAAAGACAGAAGTAAAAATATTCTTGTTTGTAGATGATATGATCTTATATTTACAAAAGCCTAAAAGCTTCACACATAAAACCCTTTTAGAACTGATAAACTAATTCAGTAAAGTTGCAGGATATAATATCAACATATGAAAAGCAGTAGCATTTCTTTATGCTACAGCAGACAGTCTGAAAAAGAAATAACAATGTAATCCCATTTAAAATAGCCACAAATAAAAGTAAATACCTAAGAATTACTAAGAATTAAATACCAAAAATGCAAAGGTCTCTATAATAAAAACTATCAAACAATAATAAAAGAAATTGAAGAGGACATCAAAAAAAATGAAAAGATATTCAATGTTCATGGATTAGAAGAATCAATATTGTTAAAATATCTATACTACCCAAAGCAATCTACACATTCAATGAAATCCCTATAAAAATACCAATGACATTCTTCACAGAAATAAAAAATAACAATCCTTCTATGTATATGGAACAACACAAGACCCAGAATAGTCAAAGTTATCCTAAGCAAAAAATAAAATGAGAGGAATCACTTTACCTGACTTCAAATTATACTACAGAGCTATAGGAGCCAAAACAGCATGGTACTGGCATAAAAACAGATACACAGACCAATGAAACAGAATAGAGAACCCAGAAACAAATCCACACATTTACCTCAAATTCATTTTCAACAAATGTTCCAAGAACGTATACTGGTGGAAAGACAGTCTCTTCAATAATGGTGCTGGGAAAACCGAATATCCATATGAAGAAAAATGAAGATATATACAAAATAGCCATATGCAAAAATCAATCCAAAATCGACCAAAGACTTAAATCTAAGACCTCAAACTATGAAACTACCACAAGAAAACATCAGGGAATCTCTCTCACAAATTAGTCTGGTCAAAAGTTTCTTGAGCACTACCCTACAAGCACAGGCAACCATAGCAAAAGTGAGCAAATGGGATCACATCAAGTTAAAAATCTTCTGGGGAGGCTGAGGCAGGAGAACGGCGTGATCCCGGGAGGTGGAGCTTGCAGTGAGCCGAGAGAAGAGGTTGTGCCACTGCACTCCAGCCTGGGTGACAAACTGAGACTCCGTCTCAAAAAAAAAAAAAAAAAAAAAAAAAAAACCTTCTGCACAGCACTCCCATGTTTGTTGAAGCACCGTTCAAAATAGCCAAAATTTGGACGCAACCTGTGTCCATCAACAGATGAATGAATAAAGTTGTACTCATACACAATGGAGTACTATTCAGTATTGCATGTTCTCATTTATTTGTGGAATCTAAAAATCAAAACAACTGAATTCATGGAGTAAGAGAGTAGAAGGATGGTAACCAGAGGCTGGGAAGGGAAGTGAGGCAGTGTGGGGAGAGGTGTGAGAGTGGTTATTGAGTACAAAACATAGTTACAAACAATAACGCCTAGTATTTTATAGCACAACAGAGTGACTATAGACAATAATAATTTAATTGTACATTTTAAAATAAAAAAACTATAATTGGATTGTTTGTAACACAAAGGATAAATGCTTGAGGGGATGGATATCCCATTTTCCATTACGCGATTATTAAGCATTGCATGCCTGTATCAAAACATCTCATGTACTCCATAAATATATACACCCACTATATATCAACAAAAATCCAAACAAAGTTTTTGAAAGATTAAAAAAATTATATCCTATTTTTCAATAAGAATTTGCATTATTTTAGTTATAATACAGGTAGAAGCCTCAGAAAACCAAATTCAACCTATTATTTCAACTAAAGAAATAATAAAGAAAAGCTATCAAATTATTTACTTTTGAAAAACAAAACTGTGTTATACATAAAGTCTTACTCATTGAAATTCATTGTGGTATGGGCATGGTGGCTCACACCTGTAATCCCAGTGCTTTGGGAGGCCAAGGCAGGTGGATCACCTGAGGTCGGAAGTTCGAGACCAGCCTGACCAACATGTAGAAACCCCGTCTCTACTAAAAATACAAAGTTAGCTGGGCTTGGTGTCATATGCCTGTAATTCCAGCTACTCAGGAGGCTGAGGCAGCAGAATCTCTTGAACCCAGGAGGCGGAGGTTGCCGTGAGCCGAGATTGCACCGTTGCACTCCAGCCTGGGCAACAAGAGCAAAACTCCATCTCAAAAAAAAAAAAGAAAAGAAAAAAAGAATTCAGTGTGTACTCAATCAACTTGGTAGACATTAATTCGAATTTATATATAAGCTGTTACTAATTTAGTGAACTAACATGGTATGTTTATGGTTCAAGAAGCTCAGCTAAAGATAAAATTGATTTTAAAAATTCAGAAATCCATAAAATACACCCATATGCACACACGCATAAACATATATAAATACTTCTTAACAACTGATAGAACAGGGATAACCAATAACTAAAACAATTACACTTGGTTAATCTCAGCCCAATTATGTTGAACCTGTGTGGCATGTTATTGATATTAGTTAACATCTTTTGGATGTTTAACTGATTACATGTATTCCTATGTCTTCAACTTAAGATTATTTTGTGAGATGATTTTCTATCTTTGGGATTATTATTTTACGTTAGTTAAATAATAATTATTAAGATGATTGGAGCCCTTTTAGGTTGCTTGTAGTTAAGTCTAGCTTCCTTAAAGCTCTCTGTGGTTTATATATTATGTTTTCTCAAGGCCATAACAGCAAAATTTAATAGTTTAGAATTAGTAAACCAGAGGCAAGAACCTTGGTAGTAAAGTAGAAAATTAAAGGAGAGCTATCTAGTAAACGGACTGTGATAAAAGTCATAGAATCTTTACTATAGATTCTATACTATACTATACTATTCTATACTATAGTAAATAGAACGCTGCTTACTATAACTGACAAATTACTTTTGAATTATTATTTAAATTATGCCATTCTTAAATATAGTCACATATACCTATTAAACACCATCTGGTAGTTTGGGGGTGGGGGGGAAATAACTACCAAACTTCTTTATATTTTTTAATTAGCATTTAGTCTGAGTTATACTTATGACTTCATTTGTATTAAATATTTATAGAGCACAGCTATTGCTGCTGGATATTTACAGCATTGGACATCATAAATTGAATTTCAAAGAGAAAGGAAAATTCTCCTGTCCTTTCTTTGATACTGATACAACATTAGCATTGCCTTATGGTGAGGGATATTAACTACTTTTCTTGTCTCAAAAATGAATCCCAAAGTCACATTTGAGTTTTTCATATTTTTCTGTTTCCTTGGCTTTTCTAAATTCTCTTTTATAAATCCTCTCTAATAGCATTACTTAAAGGGCAGTGTATTATAGTGAATAAAACCACATACACAGGAGTCAGCTTCCTGGATTTGATTCCAACTCTACATCAATGAGCAGATAGTTAGTGACTATCTCTCTACTTTGATTTCCTTAGATGCAAATGAGAATAGTAAGTTTCCTATTAGGAATGCACACGCGCACACTCACACACTCACACACACATACAAACACACACGTGCGCGTGCACCCTGGTAGCCTTCCCTGACATATAGTGAGCACTACATAGGCATTTGCTATTAATTCCGCCTTCTTTTATCATTCACTTATTCACATTTTCTTTTCACTATGCCTTCTTGCTAATCTGCTTAGTATTCTAAGTTTTTACTCACAGCTTTTTGACTCCATATTTTACCCAAGTTCCTATTAGAAAAAAATATTTTTAATTCTGTTTAGCTATAAATTTTTTCCTAAAATGTAAATGTTTCCCTTCAGACTAAAACATAAGGTATTTCATAAGATCTAACATGTCTAAAATAACAAATACTAAATATTGTTAACTATCATTTATTTGTCCTTATTCTATACAACCAAAATAGCTAGACAGGAAAATGATCAATTTGTACACATGTCTGTAAGGCAAATGGTTTGGCAGCCATCATTTTCTTCATTTTTGTCTAAATATTTTGTTTGTTTTAATTGTGAGAAGGGCTTTATAATTCACATTTTCTTGACTACTAGTTCTGATTACATTGCAGTAGATAAGGTAAACAAGAAAGTGTCCAGCAAATCGTTCAAAACTGTGCTCATCATATTTCCAGCCCACACATTTCCTGGTGTTTGAATGTTGTCTTCATTTTCTTGAACACAGTTTTATATTGGAAGTAATGAACCTACTTTGTGAAATGTAAGGACATATCCTTTTTTGTTCTAAGCTTACCAGAAAGTTTATTTATATATAAATGGATAACATTTTATAACTTCTCTCTACAAATTAATGACATCAAATGGGTTATTTAAAATTTGAAGCGGGATAGCAACGATTTGTCCCATGGAAACCTATGCATGATTAATATGAATGCAGTGAATATCAATAACATGAAGAAGAATTGGGGCTGAGGAAATATTGGGACTGTTTGGATATAATCTTTTAGTGTTGTATACTGGCTCTGAGACACTACCAATGAGAGCAACATAATTTTCAAAAACACTTCAATTATCTTGGTGATCTTCACAGCTCACTTGAATCTATCAAAAGAGTATTTCCTTTCCCTCTTAAAAATTTGTGAGCTTGTATGCTTTTAGTTCAGTCTTCTGTTTCTGGATGCCAAGGCCTTCTCTTAGAAGGGCATATTGCTACTCTTTTGTATGTTGCTCAGATAGTCCTGTGTCTGCTTTTATTGCTCAGTAATTCAATTAATCCTAATTGTTCTCAACTTTATGATCACCCTCTCCCATGGGAAGTTTCCTATTATAATAATATATTGGATGATTTAAATTTTTTTCATTGACTCTGTAGTAAGACCAATTTAAGGTATTTTATTGAAATGCAAATTTCATACTTTTAAAATTTTATGTACGTGAATACATACGATTAATTGAAAGACGTAGGAAGGGGGGGAACATCAGGACAATTTACATTATCTTCTTTTCTGAACCATTTTCAACAGACAGGGCCTTCTACATATGCAAATACACTCTCATTATATTGATTTTTTTAAAACTCAAGACAAATGGAAACCGGGAAGACAAAAGTCATTAGCACAATTGTTCCAGGCACAATAAAAAATTTATTGTATTTGTTTTTAATCCTTCCTCTTTGTTACTCTCTTCTGATCCACAACCAAAAATGCAGGACAGGGTATATGGAACTCAAAATTTAGTCTCTGATAGTTCAGTTTTGTTTCTAAGGATTGGAAGATCACTTCAAAATTAAAACATTACTCTCGCCTCTACTGCTGCTGCAATAATTTCAGGGAAGATGAGAGACTGTGTGGATTCCAGACAATGAACATAATTCATAGCCTGCTCTAAAGCTCTGTAGGACACTTTCTTTTAAATGTGTAAGACATTAACATATCAGTCATTTTAAAGACTCATAGAGAATGAAAGACTTACCAGATAGTTTTTGATGTGTGAAATTTAGGGAAATGGGAGGTGAGATATGTAGACGGCAATGGACACAAGTGTGTGTATTACCTGGTGATGTCACAGCACTATAAGGGGAGAGGAGACAAAGGATAAGAAAGGACCTATGAAGAACTTAAAAGGTCAGTAAAAGGAAAAAGAAACAAGAATATCATTATTTTTAATTGTTTGTGTAAAAAGACAAATTTGGGGACTTTTTTCTTAACGGTAACAGCTGGAGATGGTAATGAATTCACAGACCAAGAGTAGGCCTACACTCACACAAATGGGTAGTTCTTTTATTAATGTAGGAATGTAGAAAACTTGCCAGTGTTTAAGATGTAAGTTCCCATGTGTCTCTTTCCATTTTCATTATATGCCTATTTCAGTAAATAATTGGGTAAAAAGCATGTTTTCTTAAAAAATACACTAAAATGGTTTCAGATGGTGATCATGTTTTTCCTTATTGGATATAAAATAACAGATACACACTTTAACTATTCCACAAAAATTACAGTTTCCCAAACCAAAAATAGTACACTTAATATATATGTGTTTTATCTTCATTGCCCCTTTTCCTTAAAATGTTTAGACTGACAGCTCTTATTAATAGGTAAGTTGATTACGGGTATCTTCTTTTCATTCAATTGAATGGCCTACTGCAGTTTTTGAATGAAGGAGATATTCCTACATTTTTAAAATTAGAATATAGAAACTCAAGACGTGAAATTGACCATATCATGCATAGTTCACACTTGAGTTTTGGGTATATTTTTATTTTTGTATTCATTTAGCATTTGAACTGTTGTGTGGTTTATGCTTCTTGTATATAAAAATCATTTGCCCTTGTGGCCAAATGAAGTTATGCAAAAACAAAGTATTATGCAAGTAATTCTAGTCCCCACCCAAACAAAGATAAATAATTTCCCTAATTGTGAATGGGAAAAATGACAAAATTAATTTGCATGAAGTAAAACAGTTTACAAATAGCAATTATGTTACCCTTAAAATAAATATATTTTTTTCTATATTGCAAATTTTCTTCTGGAGGACTCAGTTTAAAAAATAAAAAATCATTAAAAGAGCTTTCATAGTGTAAAGGGCAAGTGGGAATCAGAGTGGAGGCTTGACTATAAGCTTCATGAAGGAGAGGAGTTGATCGCTCTCATTTACTATTTTATTCCCAGTGCCCAGAGCAATGCCTAGCTGAAAGTAGTTGACAAATAATTATTAATATAGCAATAACCTGTTATTGATACCAGTTGGCTGGGGGAAGTCCTTGAATGTCAGGGGGACCCCACCCCAGCCAGTGTCCAGGCTCTTGTCACCATCTCGAAAATGAATTAAAGGATGGGTTGGCAAATACTGAAAGTACAGAGATTGTAAAGTGAAAAGTACACATTCAAGAAACGAGAGGGCGGGTGTACTCGAGAGAGTTGCACAGTGGAGTTTGGGGTTTCTACTTTTATGGGTTTTTTTAACCAAGGGGTGGAATATTCACGAAGGTTCCTGGAAAAAGGTAGAGGTGTCTTGGAATTGTGGTGCCACCCATTTTTACACCAAATATGGGTGTGCCTGGAACTGTCATGGTGCTAGTGAATGTGTGATTTAATATGTTAATGAGCATATAATGACGTCCTAGATGAAACCTAGGTCAAATCCATGCCATGTTGGGTCCAGTCAGTCTTAGCCAGCTTGGGCCATACCCTGGTTTTTCAGGGTCTCATCAGCTCCTAGCTTCTATGACTATTTCAACAGTTTCCTTTCACTAGTTACATGAAACTGCTGCCTGGAATTTTCTATTCTCCTGCAACCAACTTATATTATTCCTATCTCATTATCACTTAAACTTATCTTATATATGCTTTGTATCTTATTGGGATTTATTTCGTGTGGGGAAAAGCAGAGATATTTCCATGTATAGGCAAAATCTATATTGAAGAGACAAAAGTTAAGCATTCCATTTAGCTGTTAAAATCATATCCAAATTATTGCATTATTGATTAAACTGTGACTTAATACCCAAAACAAATTAAATGGGGGATATGCTAGGCACAGCTTAAAATGTTAATTTTATTTGCTTATTCATATCATTGAAATCGCCTCATTAAAATATGTTTAAAAATTACATTTATATATGTTTTATCTTTAAAAGCATGAAAAAGAGGCTCAGAGTGGATCTTGTTGCTGAGCTTGTTTCAGAGAAACTTCTTTAAAGCTTCAATATAATAGAATTGTTTGTAAAAATTTCACATATTTTTTCATATTAACAAAATAAAAATAACAAATGTAGGTTTCTTGCTAAAAATATGAAGGAAAATTCCCATTTCCCAGTTATCCTTATCTTGTTTTCCAAAAATTGTCAATCTCTTTTTTCAAAATTTTCCTACAAATATGCATGCCATCACTGAGTATAAGGTAATGATTGATGAGCACACTGAATAAAAAGCATCTTGCTTTTATAGTTCTTTCATTACATTAAGAATATTCACATTGATAAAGCATGATACTCATTACCCATTTGGTTTAGTTTTAATTTGCACAAGTCAGAGTCATTTAATTTAGACCATTAAAATTAATATTGAAAAAGTAAAAAAGCCTTTTACATTTTTGTTTCCTATTTCTCGCAAGGTAAATAATTTTTCAATCTGATAAAATTATACTCAATTCAAAAGTATACATTTATATGAAAATAAATAGGGTTTGTGTTTCTTTAAGGTAAAATGTTCATGATTATAATCAAGATATTTTTGCTTTACAGAATGTTGTCTAAACTCTAGATTTTTTTTTCTTAATGCAAATAGGCTATTTTCCTTCATGAGCTATGTAGATATTTTTGCTAACCCATCTGGTTTAGAAGCCACAGCTTGAATTTTAATGAGGCAATATTATTTACTGTACTTGTTCATGCAAATTTTTCAGTGTTTGCACTGTGTTGGTAATCCTCTCTGTGAATGGGTCAAATTACCTCTGGCTTTCTTGGGAACTTGGAAATAAGTTTTGGTGCTGGATCAGACAGTGAAGTTCAGGGTTGTGAGAGCTTAGTATTTACAAATCCAAAGTGATCCACCCTAGATTTTAAACCAGGAGTCAGATTTGTTTGCTCACTGTGTTACTTCCTGTAGGTATAGTCAGATGACCTTCCACTGAAGCTCTGTTATTTTTTTTCAGGCTCTTGGGACATCGTTACATATAAAGAAGCAGAAATATATTAACTAGCACATTTCTGAGTTTTAAAGAGTTAATTCAAACACATAATGACAACAAAACTATTGCACTGAACATTTATAATGTTATTGTGAAATGTGTTACATTAGTTGAACTCACCTCTTTGTAGGGCTATCTTGATGATTTTGGGGTTATATTAGGTCATATTGAGATAAAATCATAGCCTGAATATTTAAGCTTTATATTTTTCCTTAAATGTAAGAGTTGGGAGAATATTTTCGAACATTTACATTGCATGCCTTGATAGTCTATCTTTTAGAAAAGGGTACTATAGTGTTTTTATATTGACGCTGTTTCCATTCAGTTAATTTTTTGTTTTGTTGGAGAGGCAAAAAGTTTGGCTTTGACTGGAGATTATTAAGAAATGAATATTTCAGATGGTTACCCACAAGCTCTCTTTTTCTTAGGTACTTCTTTTCTGCAAATGAATAACCACACAAAGTTTAAGTCATTAAAATTTCAGAGTAAATTTACAGAATGATATAGATTTTCAGAGGTCTTAATTAGAGTTCATGGAACTTTAGAAAATTGAGAAATGCCCTCTCTTGACACTTTGTCTACTGAGTTATTTGGTTTTCTGATTTAAATATGTGTTTAATTAGTTATTATTAGTATGCAATAGCCTACAGAGAATTGAAGTGATTCTGATTGTGAGACAACTTGACACTTTTCAGGGAGAGTGAAATTAAGGGTTATTGATTTACGGGCTCTAGCCTCTTCTAAAGCGCTCACCTCCCATGATAACTCTCTGGAAATTACCAGTCTCTGGAAACACTGAGATCAGACACAGCAGAAACCACATATCCCATTCTTAGGAGTTTGCAGCTCTGTGACACACCATAGATATTTTGTCTAGTTTCCCATATGTAATCCACTTAGTCTTACGTGAATAAATGGGCAGGAAGTTAACATGAGGAGCTGAACGTAAAAGCTAGTGAGTGAACCAGTACAAAAAGTAGAGGTTTCTATCTGTACATCTTTTGGTCTCTGACAGGTGCTCTTTGCTTATAAAGGTGATGCTCCTCTGGCAACAGACCCAGAAGTGACCAGAGACTTCCAAGCCAAGGTGAAACCCATGCTTTTTTGCTAGTTAGGGGAGTGTCCTTTTACCTGCTCCCCAATATTTGGGAAAGATATTTCAAATATGACTATTTAAGGAATAGAAACACATACTGATGAGTTAGCTGAATGAGCTCCTTGGCTCCAAATACTTAAAATCCATTTCATAATGTAGGGTTAAGAGTCTAGAAATATTTTTCACAGAGTCCCACACTATATTTTTGAAATTGAGGCTGCTCTTTGAAGGATGCAATGTAATGGTGGCATTTTGGATTAATAATATTCCATCTCCTAGAATAGAGCTTATATATTAAACTGTTCTTGTGAGGAAAGATTACTTTGGCATTTAAATTTGCTGCTTGATTTTACCTTTTTTGAAAAAGAATAGAATTCCCTTTAGTTGTGACTTTGGATCTTCCTGCTAGGGTTTTACAAATCTGACAATAGAAGTTCTGGCTCATAAGCTTAGAAGGTTTTTCAAGTTATAAGTCGAAGGATACACACAGAGATGCACATAATGAGAACTCACCCTCATGTACACTAGCGGTACAACCCCCTTTCTCCTTTCTCTGCCAAAGTCACAGAATACAAGATTCTGTTCTTAAATACTTTAAACCAAATTGTCTTTTAGGGTAGGCAGGATAAATGGGAGTCAAACAGAAGCACAACAGCCTAAAAAAGTTTTGCTGAACTCAATCCACAATCCATCAGTCCGATCTTGGCTTCAAACTTTTAGGGATATAAATGTATTAGCAATGATATTTTTCCCACAAGAAATATAACTTATACTATAAGGTAAGGAGCTTCATTTTAAATCTCTAGTCATGATCACTGGGGAAGACTTGTCAAAAACCTTTCTTTTTCTTATTAGCAACTACCAGGCAGCAGATAGTGTCAGTTTCCTCAGAGCATTTTTATAGAAGGGGTCATTTTTTTGTGGAGAAGCAAGTCACTTCACTTAGAAAGTTGTGACCGGGCCCAAAATTTCCTATGACGTGTACTTTCTCATTAAGGAAAAAGACGGCCAGGAAAAGTCTCTACTGCTCGTTAATGAAAACACATATTAGAAAAACCTAATAAGTCAATTTTCAATCAATAGCGAATAACTGTTAATTTCTCATGTGATTATAAATATTTGTATTTGAGGCTACATAAGATTTTGTTTGATAATTTGCTTATTATTTTTCAGATTATAGGACCATAGACATGACTGTCTGATCCTTTTCCATTTAAGTATATACATTAGAGGTTAAAAGATGAGAGGCACGGCTGGAGGAGGAAGAGGCTCAAAAGACTGCAGGGGATCTTGTTAGAATGTGTCAAATATTTCACAGATATTTACTTCAAAAACATATACAGATGGCCTATATGATCTAAAACTCTGTTTTTTAAATTAAGATTTCTTTTTCAGGAACCAATCAATTATACCATAATTCTAAATGAAGTGACTTGCTTCTCCAAATTCAAACTCAAAATTTACCATTTAGAATCCAAATTAAATTAACCCCATTATCTTCTGGCTAAAACATCCAGCATTTCAGCTACAAAATACATGTTGAATGAATATATTTTCTTGTTACTTTTGGTTGACTAGAGTTCAGGGTTTTTTTTTTTTTTTTTTAATCTTTAAGATACATACCTTATACTGAATTCTGATTATATGAATATTTATACATAATATAAAACATTATAGGAAAATGTCATTTAAAATTGCTAATATGCTTGCTTCAGTGTTAAGCAAGTCAATCAACTCTCTTGGCCTCAGTTTCTTGTATGTAGAGCAATCTTCTCTGTTGAAATTATTCTCTGGAAAATCTGACATTTCTTGATGGTTTTTACCTATTCAGTCAAGAATAAAAGTCTATTTTTTTCTCATCTTAAAAGAAAGTAAAAGAATAATCACAAGGAAAAATGTTAATAGTGATAAGAATGGAGCATGGGTTATTACTTGCCTTTAATAATTTGACAACAGGTAAAAGCCTTTGGGTTACGGTTCCATTTTTTTCAAATTAAACCAAATTCTCAGTCACAGCCAGAAATGGAATGCTGTTGTAATTTTTTGTGGGGGCAATAGAAAACAAATTTGTGAGAGTTCAGTTAATTTCCCTGCCCCATAAATTAGGTAAAAGTTACAGTTTTATTATGTTTAGGTAAAGAGTCTCTGAGTGAATCATGTTTTCGTTTTATAAGAGACAATGTCCAAAATTGATTCAGCGTATGCTCTGCCTTACAAAACTCCCTAGGGATGCATTGTATACAAACAATGCCTTTGAGGAAAAACTAGTTTACAAAAGGCAAAAGACTACTCCAGAAGTAGATGGCTTTCAAAGACACTGCGTCAAAGATGGTTGAGTACATAACTAGCTTTTTTGAAATATTGGAATCTATACAAGAATTTCTACAGAATTACATGTAGGGCTATTTCATTAACTTCTTGAGAGAACAAAGAAAATTCTTTGTTTTACACACCCCACAACTTTATTGTTATAAAATGCTACCACTAATTGGAATAAATTCTTACCTTCCCCATCGTAAGTCAGTGCTGCTCAAAATTTCTTTCTGATAATGTGGCAAGAGTAGCCTCACTTTCATCTATTAATGTCATCTCTTGTGTGCCTGCAAAATTTGCCAGAACTGATTAGAGAAGATATTAAATGATAATTGGACATTTAGTGCTCGTCAAACAGAAAGTGACAGATGGGGCACTAATTAAATTATAGTTTTGACATTATTTACAATGGTTTATGACTCTTCAGTGATGACCTTCATACATCTCTTCTCCATATTTTTTCCTTTGGTGGGAAGGAAGGATAGGATGTTGATTGGTAGAAACAAAAATTGTATTTTAAAAACACTGAGCAAAGCAGAGATGTTTAAAGTATGAAATTTCTAAACCTATCTATTAAGATAAAACATTGATCTGTGCTGAAATGAATAATCATGAAGCAAAAAATTCATTATGAAACTAATGGAGTGGAGAGAAAATATCTAGGAAATCATAAAGAATACACAAAGATCAAAACACAACAAACCTATTTCTAGGAAGGCTAAATACCTTTATTTTAATTTGAATTAAAAAATATAATTTTGATATCATAAATGAGAATGCAGTGCTTTTTGATAATGTCTTTTTGTGTGTTAATTCAAGCTTGCATTACTAGTTACCTCTACCAGCTAAATGAAGAAGCTTGTTAAAATGGAAGGGGGAGGGGGGAATTAAAAGAAATTCTAAGCCATAGTTGCTAAACCAGAACTGCATTTTCCTTTTCAATTAAAAGAAAAAACATAGTGTTGATTACTTTCTAACTTTAGTTTCTTTAATTTTACTCCAGTGTTTAGTAGTTGTCTAAAAAAAAAAAAATTTAAAGACTTGGATGCTTAGCTTTAGATTCCCATATTGAACCCACTGTCTAGTGATTATCTATAGTTTAAATTTAACATTAAGTTGTTTTGTATAATGTCTGTTCCCTGTAATTTTCAAGGTACACTTTCTGCTGACATATATGTACTGCTTTAGTTACTATTAATAAGTTTTAAGTCTGATGACTCATTAGAACCCATTTCCTCTCCTACCCCTGCTATACAATGAGCAAATCAGGAGGGAAGATGATTTGTTCTGACTGATGTAAATCAGGTATAGAAAGGATGGTAAATGAATATATAATTTGTTTAGATTATTCTGCCTAAATGATTTGTTCTTACTGTTGTAAATCAGGTATAGAAAGGATGGTAAATGAATATATAATTTGTTTAGATTATTCTTCCTAAATACATTATGTAATTTAGATATGATAACCAACTAGCCCATTCAATATAAGGGACTAAATGGAATGGACACAGTCATGAGGTTCCAGTTGTGCCTGGCTATCTCTGTGAATTTGGCGAAGTATGTCACTGTATTACTCAATGAAATGCAAAAGTATTTACTTAATACAACTGAACAATAGCATTTAGAAAATTTTCTGGTTAATAGTAGGATACTTAGCTATTCAAAATCTTTATGATGTTTCATGTTTGTTGCATGTTTGTTGTTAAGTAGTAAAAGGCTAAATACGCAGGCTGCAGATACGAGTGTTAAGGATGTTTGTGTATGTTAATGCCTTTTTTAACATACATACATACATTTATTTATTTATTTATTTATTTATTTATTTATTTATTTATTTATTTTGAGATAGAGTCTTGCTTTGTTGCCCAGGCTGGACTGCAGTGGCACGATCTCAGGCCACTGTAACCTCTGCCTCCCAGGCTCAAGCAATTCTTGTGCCACAGCCTCCCGAGTAGCTGGGATTACAGGACTGTGCCACCCTGCCTGGCTAATTTTTGTATTTTTGGTAGACACAGGGTTTCACCATGTTGGCTAGACTGGTCTTGAAGTTCTGCCCTCAAGTGATCTGCCCACCTCAGCCTCCCTAAGTACTGAGAATACAGGCATAAGCCACCACACCCAACCTGTTAATGCCTTTTTATTAAGCATTCTTTTACTGCTATTGCTCTATCTCTTGCTAAATATAAGCAGCATGATGTACTCTGCTCTCCTGTTCTTTTAACTCCATTGAGCTTCTTCTTTTCTTCATTTCTTCTTTCCTTTCCTTTCCTTTTCCCTTTCCCTTTCCTTTTGTTTTCTTCCTTTCCTTCATTTCCTTCCTTCCTTCTCTCTGTCTTTCTGTTTCTTTTCTATTTATTATTGTATATGATTTTTCTGTCACTTCATGACAGGGATATTTCTGAGAAATCGATCCTTAGGCAATTACCTTGTTGTGCAAACATCATAGAATGTACTTACATAAAACTGAATAATATAGGCTACAACATAACTAGTCTAGGTGGTATAGTTTAGTGGTCCTAGACTATAAGCCTGTGCTAAATACTATAGGCAATTTTTACACAATGGTAAATATTGGCACATCTAAATAATAAAAAAGAAGGCAGTAAAAATATGGTATAAAAATGGTACATCTCTGTAGGGTCCTTACCACAAATGGAGCTTGCAAGACTGGAAGTTGTTCTGGGTGAGTAAGGAGTAGTAAATTTGAAATGATAGGACATTACCATACACTACAGTAGACTTTATAAACACTATATATTTGGCTATACAAAATTTATAAAAAATATTTTTTCTTTATTCAATAATACATTAACTTTAGCTTATTGTAATATTTTTACTTTATATAATATTTTTTAACTTTTGGACTCTTATAATAACAGCTAGCTTAAAATACAAACACACTATACAGCTGTACAAAAGTATTTACTTTCTTTATATTATATTCTTATTCTATAAACTTTCTCCTATTTTTAAATTTTTACTTTTAAAACTTTTGAATAAGACCCCCAAACACAGAAAACAAAAGCAAAAATAGACAAATGGAATTACAACAAACTTAAAAGCTTCTTCACAGTAGAGGAAACAATCAATACAGTGAAGAGACAACCTATGGAATGGGAGAAAGTATTTGCAAGCTATGCATCTGTAAGGAGTTAATACCTAAAATACATAAGAAACTCAAACAACTGAATTGCAAAAAAGCAAATAATTCAATTAACAAATGAGCAAAAGACCTGAACACGTACCTCTTGAAAGAAGACATAAAAATGGTCAACAGATACATAAAAAATCCTCAACATTACTAATCATTGGGAAAATGCAAATCAAAACTACAATGAGATATCACCTCACCCCATTTAGAATGGCTATTATCAAAAAGACAATAAATGCAGACAGGATGTGGAAAAAGATCTCTTATGCACTGTTGGTGGGAATGTAAATTATCACAGTCATTACGGAAAACAGTGTGGACGTTCCTCAAAAAATTAAAAATAGAGCTACCATATGATCCAACAGTTTCATTACTGAGTATATGTCCTAAGGAAATGAAATCAGTATGTTAAGGAAATATCTGCACTCTTATGTTTTTTATTGCAGCACCTTTCCATCCACAATAGCCAAGATACGGAATCAACTTAAATGCCCATGTACAGATGAATGGGTAAGGAAAATGTGTTGTGCGTGCACACACACACGCACACACACACACATACACACACAATGGAATACTATTCAGCCTTACAACAGAATGAAACTCCTTTATTCGTGGCAACATGAATGAACCTGAAGGACATTATGTAAAGTGAAATAAGCCAGGCACAGAAAGACTAACAATGAATGTTCTCACTCATATGGGAATCTAATTGATTTCATAGAAATGGGGAGTAGGATGATTAACAGAGGCAGGTGCAGTGTGGGGAGCAAGGAATGAGAGAGATTGGTCAATGAGTAAAACATTACGTTAGACAGGAAAAATAAATTCTGGTGTTCTATTTCAGAGTAAAGTGAAAATAACAGTGTTGTGTATATTTCAAGATCGCTCCGGGAAAAGATTTTGAGTGTTGTCACCAGAAAGAAATAATAAATGTTTAAAGTGATAGACATGAGATTTCATCTCATGCAAAGTACACATGCACTGAAATGTCACACTGTACTCCTGATACAGTTTGAATGGTTTTCCTCTCCAAATCTCATGTTGAAAGGTAATCCCCAATTTTGAAGAGGGCATCTGGTGGGAGGGGTTTGGGTCATGAAGGCCGATCCCTCATCTCATTGGGTTGGTGCTGTCCTCATGATAGATTGAATGCTCACTACATCTGGTAATTTAAAGTGTGTGGCACCTACTCCTTTGTTATTTGGCTTCCACTCTTGCTATGTGATGTGCCTGCTCCCATTTCACCTTCCACCATGAGTACAAGCTTCCTGAGGCCTTCCCAGAAGCCATGCATGCTTCCAGTACAGCCTGCAGAACTGTGAGCCAATTAAATCTCTTTTCTTTAAAGTTACTCAGTCTGGGGTATTTCTTTGTAGTTAGCCAAATGGACAAATACAACTCCATAACTAAGTGTATTTATTATGTGTCAATTCTAAATTTAAATATTAATAATTTTTGATAAAAACTAAGATACAAAATCACTCATTAGTTTACACAAAGTCAGGGTCATCGATAGCTCTGTCTTCCACATCTATATCTTGTCCCACTGAAAGGTGTTCAGGGGCAATAACATGCATGGAGCTGTCATTTCCTGTGATAACAATATCTTCTTCTGGAATACCTCCTGAAGGACTTGCCTGAGGCTGTTTTACAGTGAACTTTTTAGAAACATAAGTAGAGGTACACTCTAACAATAAAAAGTATAGTATAGTAAATACATAAACCAGTAACATAGCTGTTTGTTTTTAATATCAAGTATTATATACCGTATATAATTGTATATGGAATACTTTTACAGAACTGACCATGGAGCAGTTTTGTTCACACCAGCATCATCACGTGAGGAAAATGTTGTGCTATGACATTACATTACAATGGCTATGATGTCATTAGACAAAAGGAATATTTCAGCTTAATTGCAATCTTATGCGACCACCATCATATATGTGGTCGATTGACTAAAAACATCATTATGCAGCACATAACCATACATTTAACATATACAGAATGTTTATATATATATATGTATATATAGAAATACATGGTGAGGTGACTACTACAGTTGAATAAATTAACATATCCATTGTCTCAGTTACCATTTATGTGAGTGTGTGCACATAAATGTTCATACACTCATATCTTACCACATAAGATCACCTAAAATCTACTCTCTTAGCAAATGTCTGTACATAATGCAGTATTATTAACTAGAGTCATCATGTGGTACATTGGATCTATAAACTTATTCTAGATAACTGTTTACCGTTTTAGATATCTCTTTACCCTTTTATCTGTATCTTCTGATTTCCCCTCCCTCCCACTCCTGATAACCATCTTTCTATTCCTTGTTTTTGTATAGTTGATTTCTTTCTCTTTTTTATCTTCCACACATAAGTGAGATCATGCAGTATTTTTCTTTCTCTCTCTGACTTATTTCATTGAACATACGTCCTCTAGGTTCATCTATGTTCTTGCAAATGGCAAGATCTCCTTTTTTTTCTTGAAGGTAAATAGTATTCCATTGTGTATATACAGCACACTTTCTTTATTCATATGGACCATCATGTAGATTATTTTCATATCTTTTCCATTGTGAATAATATTGCAATGATCATAGGAATGCAAATATCTTTACTTTCATGTTTCTCTTCAGATTGTACACATCTTTCACTTTTTATTTCAGTACAGATTTTAAATAAAGATGTTATCCTAGTTTGTTATATATTAGAAGCATTTCCTATTAGTTTTCTATTGCTACTGTAAAAATATTACCATGTTTTATTACCCTAAAGCAAAACAAATATATTGTCTTACACTCCTGCAGATTGGAAGTCTCATGCAGGTCTCATTGGAAGACTCAAGGTGTCAGCAGGTCTGCATCCCATTCTGGAAGCTGCAGGGTGATATCTGTTTACTTGCCTTTCCCAGCTTCAGGAGGCCAAACACATTCCTTGGCTTGTGGCCCCCTTCTTTAATCTTCAAAGGCAGAAATTTGAATCTCTTTGGCCATTTTCTGTAGTCACATCTCCCTCTGACTCTTGCATTCTGCCTCATTCTTTCATATTCAAGTATTCTCATGATTATAATTTGCCCACCTGGATAATCCAGGATAATCTCTGTGTTATAATGTAAGCAATCTTAGATGAATCTCATCTGCAATCTAATTCCCTTTTGCCATGTAAAATAACATTCACAGCTTCTGGGGATTAGGATGTGGAGCATATTTGGGCTTAGAAGAGTGGAGCATTATTGTGCCTAACACATTCTTAAGTAAATTTTTCTTTCTTCCCCTTGAGTGTGAATAAGCTAAGGAAATATTGCCTGGTAGAGATGCTCTGGTGACTTCTTTTGCTGAATAGATAAGAATGGTTTTATTTTTTATTTTTAATTGAACAAATAGTAATTGTATATATTTATGTGTTACAATGTAATGTTTTGATATATGTATACATTCTGGAATGATCAAATCAATAGGCAATACATTATTGATTATTGAGACATATAAATGACCAACAGATAGAAGAAAAAATGCTCATCATCTCTAATCACTGGATAAAATACAATTGAAAACCATAATAAGATATGGCCTTATAGCTGTTAGGTTGGCTGACAATTATTATTTGTCAATTAAAAATATTATGTCTCAATAATCAATCATAACTTAGTTAATATAGTTATTATTAACTATAGTCACCAAGCTGTACAATAGATCACCAGACCCAGTCTCCCATCTAACTGAAATTTTGTACCCTTTGACCAAAGTCTTCCTTTTCCTTACCTGCCCTCTTTACATACAACCCCCCCCCACAACCTCTGGTAACTATCATTCTACTCTCTACATCTATGAGTTAGACATTTTTAGATTCCACATATAAGTGACATCATGTGGCATTTTTCTTTATGTGTGTTGCTTATTTCACTTAGTTCAATGTCCTCTAAGTCCATCCATGTTGTCACAAATTACAGAATTTCCTACTTTTTAATGGCTGAATATTATTCCATTATGCGTTCTATCATAGACTACATTTTTTAACCCATCTGTTGACCTCTTCAGTTGTTTCCATATCTTGGCTATTGTGAATAATACTGCAATAAGCACAGGAGTACAAACATCTCTTCAACATACTAATTTTAATTCCTTTGGATATACACCCAGAAGTGGCATTGCTGGATCATATGATAATTCTATTTTTTATTTTTTGAAGAACCTCCATACTGTTTTCCAAAATAACTACTAATTTACAATATCGTCAACAATGTACAAGATTCCTTTTTCTCCACAACCTTGCCAACAGTTATTATCTTTCATCATTTTGATAACAGCCAATGTAACAACTATGAGGTGATATCTCATTGTGGTTTTAGTTGTTTTTAATTCAATGATTGGAGATGTTGAGCATTTTTTTCTTATATCTGTTGGTCCTTTATATGTCTTCCTTTGAGAAATGTTTATTCAGGTCTATTCAGGACACCTATTCTGTTAATGCTGCTGGGATAACTGGCTAGCCACATGCAGAACACTGAAACTAGACCTCTTCCTTTTACCATATGCAAAAATAAACTCAAGGTGGATTAAAGACTCACATGTAAAACCTAAAACTATAAAAACCCTAAAAGAAATGTAGGAAATATCATTCTGGGCATAGGCTTAGGCAAAGATTTTATGACAAAGACTCCAAAAGCAACTGAAATAAAAATTAGGTTGGGCTTAATTAAATGGAAAGAGTTTCTGCACAGCAGAAGAAGCTATCAACAGAGTAAACAGCCCACAAAAAGATGAGAGAAAATATTTGCAAACTATGTATCTGACAAAGATCTAATATCCAGAATCTAAAAGGAATGGAAACATATCAACAAGCAAAAAACAAACTCATTAAGAAACGGACAAAGGACATGAACTTTTCAAAAGAACACATACAAGTGGTCAAAAAAACATGAAAAAATGCTCAACATTACTAATCATTAGAGAAATGCAAATTAAAACCACAATGAGATACCGTCTCAAACCACTCAGAATGGCTATGATTAAAAGGTAAATATATAATAGATATTGACAAGATTGCAGAGAATAGCAACACTTATATGCTGCTGGTAAGAGGATAAATTAGTTCAGCCTGTGGAAAGCAGTTTAGACATTTCTCAATAAGCTTAAAATAGAACTACCATTTGACCCAGCAATCCCATTATTGGATATTTACCCAAATGGAAAATAAGTTGCTCTACCATAAAGGCACATGCATACATAAGTTTATCGTACCACTTTTGGCAACCACTGAGGAGATAGAGAAAGAAAATGTGCACCACGGAATACTACTCTGCCATTCAAAAGAATGAAGTCATGTTCTTTCCAGCAATATGTATGCAGCCGGAGGCCATTATTCTAAGCAAATTAACACAGGAACAAAAAACCAAGTACAGCATGCTCTCACTTATTACTGGGAGCTAAATGTTGAGTACACATGAACTCAACGAGGGAAACAATAGATACGGGGCCTACTTGAGGGTTGAAGATGGGAGGAGTGTGAAGATTGAAAAACTACCTATCGAGTACTATGCTCACTACCTCCGTGATGAAAACATTTGTATATCAAACCCCTACACAATTTACTCACGTAACCAACTTGCACATGTACAACCTGAACCTAAAATAAAGGTTGGAAGAAAAATAAATATGACAAATGAAAATAAAAAGAAAGAAATGGTAAAAGAGATTCTTTAGCCTGAAGAGAATTAATACCCAACCAAAATCTGAATCTACTGAAAGGAATGAAAAGAGCTAGTAGTTGTAAATGTGTAGATAAATATGAAAGACTTTTTAGAATTTCTTAATTTCTTTTCTTTTTTTTTTTTTTCTTTTCTTTGACATGGAGTCTCGCTATGTCACCAGGCTAGAGTGCAGTGGCACGATCTTGGCTCACTGCAACCTTTGCCTCCTGGATTCAAGTGATTCTCCTGCCTCAGCCTCCTGAGTAGCTGGGACTACAGGCGTGCACCACCACACCCAGCGAATTTTTGTATTTTTAGTAGAGACAAGGTTTCACCATTTTGGCCAGGATGGTCTTGATATCTTGACCTCATGATCCGCCCCGCTTGGCCTCCCAAAGTGCTGGGATTACAGGCATGAGCCACCACCCCTGGCTGAATTTCATATCTTTATTTCTTTAATAGAGAACTGACCTTCTTAAGCAAAAAAAAATTACTTAATATCATAATCCTTCTGGAGTTTATAACACATACCGAAATAAAAGCAAATAACAAAATAACAAAAATAGAGATTTAATGAAATTATGCAGTGATAAATTTCTTACACTTTACCTGAAGTACTACAACACAAATTATTTCCAGACTGTGACATTTTAAGAATGCATACTGTAATCGCAAAATCAAGTACTTAAAAAACATAAAAAACCAATAGAAGAAATAGAATGGAATAATTTAAATTATTTGATTAACCTGAAGGAAGATACAAAAGGAAAGAAAAAAAATAAATGGAAATAAAATATCAAGATGATAGTCAAACCCCAATTAAAAGGGAAATTGTCACACTGGTGGAGGGAGGAGTCATAGGTATGCTATCTACAGGAAATGTACTTCAGATTCAAATACAGGCAGATTGAATATAAAAGTTAGAAAAATATACGGTAATCAAAATATATACATAAAATATAGTGTGTCTGTAAAAAGATAAGAAAAAGCAGGCCTCGGGACAAAAAATATTATAGAGATATAATTGGAAATTTCGTAATGATGAGAAAGTGAATTCATGAGGAAGAAACGGGAAGTAAAAACTGACAAAACTAAGAGATTAGCCAAATTTATAGTTATAGTAGGAAGCTTTAGTACCCATTTCTCATGTGTAACCCTGCACGTAGATTGGTACCCCATCCCGTAAGTAATTCAGATCTACTTCATTTTTACAGTGTACAGTTCAAACAACAAACCTGTTAACTACCCCTTCTGAAATAGATATTGTATTATCCTTTAAAGAAGGGAGCTCTTTTCCTATATCTACTTTTTCATTTCTGGAAAGCTTAGCTGAGGAGTTGCCTGTGACCCACTGAGCAAAATCATCTCTATTTGCTTGAGATCTGAGAATCAAACTTTCCTACATAGACTGAATATCCTGGGATTTGAGAAATCCGATACTCTTCATAAGGCACTGAGAATATACCCTAACATTTGTGTGTGTGTGTCTGCATGCATGTGTTAAAGTGTATTGTAAAAGGTTAATAATATATAGAATGTGGCAGTTAATAATTTACAGACTTTTTAGAGGAAAATTTACCTTGTCTCAAAGTTTTCCTTAAAGCCCAATAGTGTTCAGAATTCAGTTTTATCAGCAGGAATGAAAATTAACAATCATGGAAGGAAAGTAAATCTTTTTATTAGGTAAAACACATACAATGCAAAAACAATTGCTAATGCCTTCTCTGATAGATACAGTAACAGTCACAAAGGCTGCAGAGCACTGCTAAAGTATTTATTTGACATTTATTAAACAGAGTTTAATGGCAGTGACACTTTAGTCTAATTCATCAATTTAATAGTTTTCATGAAAATGCTTCATTTACTTAGATGCTCTATGTATCTTTCCTATTCCTACTAATCATTTTTATTCATTTGCTATTGAAGTAGGTTGCCTTGAAATAGTGCATTAGAATCAGAAGAATATAGCTTCATAAAGCATTATCATTAAAAACCTATCTAGATTAAGAAGTAGCAAGTAATTATAATTTTACAGGATTATTTTTTCATTTGTCTCAATGACAGTAAATCATTAGGCCTGAGAAACCATCTGTATGGATCCATAGATACATGCCAGAGGTCATCTTTGGAAACATAATCATACATTATTATGATGTCCCAGTTTAAAAAGGGTTTTCTTCTTAAAAAAAAAAATCTTTAGTAGTGATCTCTTCTAATGAACATGATAAATCTGATAATCTTCAAGGGAGTTTTAGTTTCAAATTTCTTTGCCAAATCAGTAGAACCCCTAGGGTGAAATAATGAGTAGACAAATAATCTTGTTCTGCCCCTTAGGGTAGATATTTTGTACTGATGATATTTCTAGTGCTGACCTTCCACATTCAAGTGTCTAAGTTTATAGGTAATTAATCAGTATTCCCTGGCACTTTGAAGATTTGAGCCTAAGTGGATATTTGCTTTCTGCTAACTGGTTTCTAGTGTTTTAACTGCCTGGTTGTACAGCAGTTGAAGGCATCTGATACCTGTATTTCCTTAGCCCATAAGGACCTCTAGAATGGCTATACAGAGAAGAGATAATTTTTTAAATATGGATTTAACTGATATAAACATTACATGGTAAAAGGAAAAAAAAGTTGCATTATTAATTTCTAGCAACTTTTTTTTGAAGTTGTTCTAGTACAGTTCATCTGGTCTGAGGAAGTACTGCTCTGTAATTATTCTAGATGAATTGCTTCATTCAGTTATTCATTGAGGTTAGTGGCTTCAGAGAAGGCCAACTAGCTGGATATGAAGTGCCATCAGTTTACAGTCTTGACCAATAAGCCTCCCTGTAGAAACTGAAATTGTCAGTATGCTGGATTTCTCAGACTTAAATTGATAATGATGATTACTACATTCTCAATGTCGCATAGATTAGAATAGCAGTTTACTTAATTAATACCTCAGGTAGAACAGACATCAAGTGGTCCAATGGTGTTACTCTCTTTTAAAAAGAAATTTTCATGCGAAGCTGAAATATCAGAATTTGAAAACAGAGCAGGGGGAATTGTTTATGGGATATGAACATTGAATATTATCAGACTTACGTATAAATTGACATTAGTCTCAACAACACAGATAGATATGCTAGGCAGATGTAATATGTTTATAACACCTCTTGGAGAAATTTCTTTTCTGAATCATGTTTGGGTGAGTTTTTCCAGTATTCAATGGCCTGTTGATAAATGATTAACAGTTGGCTCTTTAAGGAAAACCATGCTAATTTGTAGGTTTGTCAGTTTTTGTGGTATAAATATTACCATTATGACTAAGTTGAAGCCACCAATATCACTAAAGATGCGGCTGGGATACATACAATCCAGTTCTCAAAAGTCACCACCAGCTGATTCTGTCACACCACTGCAATGCCTACCTTTCAGATATTACTTATTTGCCTGCTACTGAAAAGCTATTATGTTCTTTGGATGTTATCTTTAAGTGTGTAAGTATATAAATATAAGTATGTAAATATATAAATATAAACATGTCTGATTATAATATCTTAATATTTAGTAATTTAAAATGAATTTTTATATCTTTTCTTCTGGCCTCTCACATTCTTAACTGATTTTGTGGCTTAATTTTCAGAAGTAATTTTTATTTCTAAGTTCTTAGGGAGCTTCATGGTTATTGCTTCATGTATTTTCAACTCCAGACTTTCTAAACTGTTTTTCTTATGCTATCTGCATCAGAATCTCTGAGAAAAGAGGACTTAGCATCAGCATTTTAACACATTCCTTTGGAAAGACATTGTTAAGCTTTGATAATTTCTGTTCTAAAAGACCTGCCTTTCCATTAAAGATAAAATTATTTTAATATTGACCTTCAATATTGACAAAACGTAATCGAAATAGAAGTGGGAAAACAAGAAGTAAGAAATGATGAGAAGTTAGTTTTATGATCTCATGAAAATATAATCTTGATGGACTTGACTTTGGAATAAGAACTAACTTCTGGAAGAAGGCTTTCTTTTCTCTAGTTTTGTCTATTTTGTCTATTCTAATTTTTCTATCTATTAAGTAGATTATTTTTGGTGGTATTTCTCAGTCCTCACGTATAGCAGCATTCCCTGGTGAGGTTAAATTTGTATTTAATTTCGCATGATGCTAATAAGCAGCTAGAATTGTGGAACATTCCAGCAGGGAGCCCAAATTTTCTTGGTTTATGATACCCAAAGTAATTTTTTCCTGTAATTCCTAGATCAATAAAACAAACAAAACACCTAAGGGTCCTGTTTGAGTATCAGCTTGCAGTATGTTAATATATATTTATGTCTTAAACTTATCAGCAGTTTGAAAATTAATATTTATAAATTCAAAGAAGAAAATACTTCTGTTTCTTTCTTAACCAAAATTATTTACTTATGGGATGTGTGCAGTTTCTTGCGGGCAATGCACCACTTCTCAAAACTTGAATTCAGATTGAAGACCTTCACCCTCCTCTTTTTTTTTTTTTTTTTTTGGAGACAAGAGTCTCGCTCTGTCACCCAGGCTGGAGTGCAGTGGCACAATCTTGGCTCACTGCAAGCTCTGCCTCCCAGGTTCATGCCATTCTCTTGCCTCAGCCTCCCGAGTAGCTGGGACTACAGGGGCCTGCCACCACGCCTGGCTAATTTTTTGTATTTTTAATAGAGATGAGGTTTCACCATGTTAGTCAGGATGGTCTCGATCTCCTGACCTCGTGATCCGCCCGCCTCGGCCTCCCAACCTGCTTTCTTACTCTACGTTAATTTTCTCAGTGTGCTTGCCTTTTAAGGCAGCAAAAAGTAAAACCCAAGCTTTGAAAATATATAATGTCATTGAAAGAAATACACTGTGATCCTTTTTTGGTAGTGTCTATGCATCTCTAGAAAAGTTAGAATATGTAGGAGTACCTCTGTTAGCTTTCTGCAGTTTCCCAGGTGACTTGCTACACACTTTCAGAGCCAGGAACTTATAAAACAAATCTTATATAAATGAGAAAAACAATTTTAAAGTCTCTAAATAGAGTGATTAAAAAAACAATAAAAATCTAACAAGAGTCAGGCTTGCTCATTAAGTTATGATTTTATCAACTTTTCAATAATGATGAAGGAAGTGATGATGATGAATGGATAATGATGATGATAGTGATAAAAATAATGAAATAATTATGCACCAGTCACGAACGCATATGTAAATGCATTTCTAAGTAAGTGCATTTTGTACAATAACCTAATTATTTTTTGTAACAAATCTAAGAAATAGATACTATTATTATGCCCAGTTTGTAGGTAGAGAAAACGGAGGCTTAGAATGTTAGTGATTCCTCCAGCTAGTAAGTGATACAACTGGTTAGGGAAAGTGATTGGCTTGGATTAAGAGGCTGTAAATTCTTCTTGAAAGGAATCTGCCATGATCATAAGGAATGGAACGGTGGGGAGTCTATGGCCTCAGTGAAGGCAGGCAGATAAAAACGTAAAGCAATGAGAAAACCAAGGATTCCTGGCATCACTGGCACATGTCTTATAGGACTGGTGAGGAGGACAATTGTAAAATCTAGGTAGTTTGGAGGAGTGAGAGCCCAGGGGTGTGTGTGTGTGTGTGTGTGTGTGTGTGTGTGTGTGTGGTGTGTGTGTGTGTGTTGTGTGCATGCAAACACGTAAACATTCAGAATTCCCAGGTATCATTTGGCTAGGGTCGTGTCCTATTACAAATGACAATTAGACAAAAAAGCAAAACAAGCAAAATGAAACATTAGAGACAAAAAGATGGCTAAAGTAATATAATAAAAGTAAAGATAAGGGAGAAGACAGAGACATGGCAGTAGCTTCTGCTACCTTGTACCTTCTTAAACCTATTTATCACTATTGCCCTTTACTTGAAATATTAAAATTCTTAAACATCTGCATTTCTCTTAAGGTAGCTCCTGTTTCAAACATGCTGTGCAATTTAAAAATAAAATCTGGGCCCGGCATGGTGGCTCACGCCTGTAATCCCAGCACTTTGGGAGGCTGAGGCCAGGGAGATCACTTGAGGTGAGGAGTTTGAGACCAACCTGGCCAACATGGCAAAACCCCGTCTCTACTAAAAATACAAAAATTAGCTGGGTATGGTGGTGCATGCCTGTAATCCCAGGTACTCAGGAGGCTGAGGCAGGAGAATTGCTTGAACCTGGGAGGTGGAGTTTGCAGTGAGCCGAGATCGTGCCACTGCACTCCAGCCTGGGCAACAGAGTGAGACTCTGTCTCTAAATAAATAAATAAATAAACAAACAAACAAATAAATATAAAGTTTGGACAAAAGACTTCTTAAAATATTTTCTTCTTAGGAGCTGTGTGTTACGTCATCATGTGAGGCTGGGTTTTGAGAAAAAAGGCAGAGTTTTTGAGTTGGATGTATATTATTGAAAGCCTGTAATGACAAGTGCTAATTTGTATTTATGAAGAAACGTTAGGAAATAAAATGTCATGTAATGTCAGAAACATAAGAGCATATTTTAATTAAATCTTTGAAGACCTTCCAGAGAATTTAAGTCTTCTCTATCTGGCATTAGGCTGGAAAAGGATAAGAAGCAGTTGGATGTTTTCAACTCTTTCCTCTATTTAGTCCCTACCTTCCTTATTCCAGAATACTTTATTTTAGTCATTTGGTACTCAGGACATATGCTATTAGGCTGGATTTTTTTTTCCTTTATAGAGACAGGGCCCTGCTCTGTTACTCTGGCTGGAGTGCAATGATGCCATCACGGCTAACTGCAGCTTCCAACTCCTGGGCTCAAGTGATCCTCCCATTTTAGCTTCCCAAATACCTGAGACTACAGGTGCGTATCACCATGCTCAGCTAATTTTTTAATTCTTTTGTAGAGACAGAGTCTTACTATGTTGCCTAGACTGGTCTTGAACTCCTGGATTCAAACGTTCTTCTCACATCAGCCTCCAAAAGTGCTAAGATTACAGACACGAGCCACCACACCCAGCCAGAATTGATTCATTTCTAAGAACCGTGACATGTTTATTCTGATACTTCCCTGTATTTACTCTGATGCTTCACCCTGTTGGTGGGTGACCTTTTGCATTTCTCTACTCCATAATTTAAGTGAGCACAGTTCTTGGCACAAAACAGTCAATGAATAAATATGTGTTGGATGAATTGATAACAACACTACCATATAGATTTCAATTATTGTCTATATAATTTACTTGATGTATTTTAAGTTGTAGCTGTCTAACTGAGCATCTTCAGGTCAGATTTACTCTGCGCAGGGAAAATTATTTAATGACAATTGAGAGAATCATCTAACTGGTGTCCCTGCTTCCAATGTATCAGCCTCTCTGAACTTCATGCTGCCGTTATCTCCAGCACCAAGTCCTAAGTTACTCATCGGTTTCACACTCCAGCTACTACTTATTTTGTTGTTTTCTCACTCTGGAAATCTCTTCTCACCTCCTTTAATTCTTCCCCTTTCAGACTCATGCTCTCACCCCTTAAATTCTTCTTCCTCCTGGAAAGTCAATGTAGACATGCTCTTTTTTTTTTAATTATACTTTAAGTTTTAGGGTACATGTGCACAACATGCAGGTTTGTTACATATGTATACATGTGCCATGTTGGTGTGTTGCACCCATTAACTCGTCATTTAACATTAGGTGTATCTTCTAATGCTATCCCTCCCCCATCCCCCCACCCCACAACAGGCCCCGGTGTGTGATGTTCCCCTTCCTGTGCCCATGTGTTCTCATTGTTCAATTCCCACTTATAAGTGAGAACATACGGTGTTTGGTTTTTTGTCCTTGCAATAATTTGCTGAGAATGATGGTTTCCAGCTTCATCCCTGTCCCTACAAAGGACATGAACTCATCCTTTTTTATGGCTGCATAGTATTCCATGGTGTATATGTGCCACATTTTCTTAATCCAGTCTGTCATTGTTGGACATTTGGGTTGGTTCCAAGTCTTTGCTGTTGTGAATAGTGCCCCAATAAAAATACATGTGCATGTGTCTTTATAGCAGCATGTTTTATAATCCTTTGGGTATATACCCAGTAATGGGATGGCTGGGTCAAATGGTATTTCTAGTTCTAGATCCCTGAGGAATCACCACACTGACTTCCACAATGGTTGAACTAGTTTACAGTCCCACCAACAGTGTAAAAGTGTTCGTATTTCTCCACATCCTCTCCAGCACCTGTTGTTTCCTGACTTTTTAAATGATCACCATTCTAACTGGTGTGAGATGGTATCTCATTGTGGTTTTGATTTGCATTTCTCTGATGGCCAGTGATGATGAGCATTTTTTCATGTGTCTTTTGGCTGCATAAATGTCTTCTTTTGAGAAGTGTCTGTTCATATCATTTGCCCACTTTTTGATGGGGTTTGATTTTTTCTTGTAAATTTGTTTGAGTTCATTGTAGATTCTGGATATTAGCCCTTTGTCAGATGAGTAGGTTGCAAAAATTTTCTCCCATTTTGTAGGTTGCCTGTTCACTGTGCTGGTAGTTTCTTTTGCTGTGCAGAAGCTCTTTAGTTTAATTAGATCCCATTTGTCAATTTTGGCTTTTGTTGCTATTGCTTTTGGTGTTTTAGACATGAAGTCCTTGCCCATGCCTATGTCCTGAATGGTAGTGCCTAGGTTTTCTTCTAGGGTTTTTCTGGTTTTAGGTCTAACATTTAAGTCTTTAATCCATTTTGAATTAATTTTTGCATAAGGTGTAAGGAAGGGATCCAGTTTCAGCTTTCTGCTCTCTTTCTCTCAACTGCCACTGATATGCGCAGTTTTAATCACCCCTTTTTGTATTAAGAGGTCTTTGCATTTATTTTTTGCATAGCATTTTTGCCTTTTGCTATGAATTTTGTATGAGAGTTAAAATGTTTGTCAACTAAGTGAATGGATGTTCTATCGTTCATTCTCAAGTAGAGTTTGTTAAAGTATAATTCGTCATGTAATGCTCAACTCCATTTCACTTACTAGGTTATGGATATATAACTATGTTACATTGTTACTGTTTGGGGTAACTCTTTGTGGGATAAATCGCTCTCTCCTAACTGGAGAAAAAGTATGAGAATATGACACACACTACAGTGCTAGATTCTACGTTTCTCTCTCCAGTCAAAATTACCTTTTTAGTGTTCTCCACTACTTTATTGTTTTGTTTTTCTTGCATGTATGTGTGTATAAATGTTTGCAAACACACACACACTATACACACTATACATATATACATATAAACACATACTCATATGCACACAGAAATGCAAAAAAAACAAATTTATAATTTTAAAATAAACATACATAGATGTTTCTCAACTTAAATTGGGGTTGTGTCTTGGTAAGTTGAAAATATAAATTGAAATTGCATTTAATACACTTAAACTACCAACATCATGGTTTAGCCTAGCTTACCTTAAACGTGCTCAGAACAATGACTTTAGCCTACAGTGAAGCAAAATCATCTAACACAAACCCTATTTTATAATAATGTGCTGAATAGCTTCTGAAATGTATTAAATACTGCATTGACAGTGAAAAACAGGATGGTAGTATGAGTACTGACCATTAACATACATAGCAGAAAGCACACTAGGTCTGAAGAATGCTTGAAGACTTGAAGTAAAATTAATTGCTGGATGATGGGGTTGCAACAGAGAATGAGTACCCAGATTCTTTCTCTTCTGATGAGGGTTGGGAATACCAGGTAGAAGGTGCTGAGGAATGCAACACTCACCGATGGTTTAGCAGGCATAATGTTCCTTAGGAAGATATCAAGTATTCCGTGTTTCCTCTTCTGATGATCTGGCTGACTAGGAGCTGTGGCTCGCTGCTACTGCAAAGCATCTTGAGAGAGTATTGTACCACTTACTGCTAGCCCAGGAAAAAATAAAAATTCAAAATATGGTTTTCCCTGAATGCTATCACTTTCATACAATTGAAAAGTGGAGAAATCATAAATGAAACCATTATAATTACGTTCATTCAGAGAAATGCATCATTAGGCAATTTCATTGTGTGAACATCATAGAATATACTTAAGCCTAAATGATACAGCCTACTACATACCTAGGCTGTGTTGTATAGCCTATTGCTCCTAGTCTACAAGTTCATACAGCATATTACTATTCTGAATATTGTAGGCAATTTTAACACAATGGTATGTGTTTGTGTGTCTAAACATAGAAAAGATATAGTAAAATATGACATAAAAGATGAAAAATGGTATACCTGTATAGGGCACTTACCATGAATGGAGCTTACAGGATTGGAAATTGCTTTGGATGAGTCAATTGCTCAGTGAATGAGTGGTGAGTGAATATGAAGGCCTAGGACATTACACTACTGTAGACTTTATAAATACTGTACACTTAGGTTGCACTCAATTTATTTTAAAATATTTTCCTTAATAAATTAATTTTAGATTACTGTAATTTTCTTCTAAAGTTTATAACTTTTTAATTTTTTTAACTTTTTGACTCTTGTAATAACATTAAAATACACATTGTATAGCTGCCCTACAATAGTGTTTCTTTATATCCTTATTTTGTGAGCTTTTTTCTATTTCTAATTTTTAAAAATGTTTTTAAAAATTAAAATTTCTAAAAAATTTAAAAAATTAAAAATAAAAAAAAATTTTTAAATGTTTTTTTAAAATGTTATGTTTTTACTTTTTAAACCTTTTTGTTAAAAACTACACAGAAACATACACCTTAGCCTAGACCTACCCAGTCAGGATTATCAATATCACTGTCTGCCACCCTCACACCTTGTCCCATCGAAAGGTTTTCATGGGCAATAACATACATGGAGCTGTTATCTCCTGTGATAACAATGCCTTCTCCTGGAATGCCTCCTAAGGAACTTGCCTGGGGCCATTTGGAGTTAACTTTATAAATATATATATATATAAACATATATATAAATATATATATAAATATATATATATAAATATATATATAACTTGAAGGAATACACTAAAATGATAAAAAGTATAGTGTAGTAAATACATAAATCAGTAGCATAGTAATTTATTATTATCATAAAGTAATTGTACTGGACCTAATTGTCTCTGCTATACTTTTACACGACTGGCAGTGCAGCAGATTTGTTTACACCAGCATCACCACAAACACTTGAGTAATGAATTGCACTAAGGTGTTAGGAAGTCTAGGAGGTCACTAGTTAATAGGAATTTCTCAGTTCCATGACGATCTTATGGAACCACCTTTGTATATGTGGTTTGTGATTGTCTGAAACACCATTATGAGGCACATCAGTGTAGAATTTTAAATGTAAGCAATCTCCCAGATTATTTTTTATCTTCTTTGTTCTCTTTTGATCTTACCCCTGCTCCTGGAAAATCACTGTGCAAATGCTTTTTCTCATGTTGGGTGATATTTATAAAATCAGCAGGCTAACTGAGCCTCTTGAATGTATGGAATTTCTTTTTTTTTTTAATGTAGTTGTAGAGATAGTGCTTTGCAAATAAGAGGAAATTGGCAAAGGAAGTTCAATATATTGCTATATGAGACCCAAGGGGTAAAATGTGTTTTAATGTAGATTGAAGTCAATTGTATTTCTTGATGTGTCTTTCCACACATTCCTTTTGTGTATGATAATGTCACTGTTGGGCAGTGGAGGCAGAGAGGGGAAGTGAATAGGTAATGATGCTAATTTACCTTGTCCAGGAGTGGGGCAAAAATGCCCTTCTGCTTTTACTAAGTTAGAGGGAGAAAGTGATGTGGGAGTTTGCTTTAGAAATGCACGGCAAAAGAAAAATTGATCTTTGTCTGTGTTTGTCCTCTTTTGTTGATGTGGGAACACTATTGAACGACTTTTGGCAACTACTAATCAATTGCTATCTTCCTCCTAACAATCTTTTCTATCATTGTTTGATAGTCTTTTATCTCTTTTCTCAGTATATTCTTATATTAGTACTATTCATTTACTCAGACATTTTATTGAGTGCTTACCTGTGGTCCACACTGTACTAGGCATAACAAGGAGTAAATATAAGTACAGAAGAAGAAAAAATTTAAAGGTTTTTGCTGTAAAAACATAATCAGTTATCCTATACTCAAAGACCTGTTGCTCATGAAGTATGTAATTAATATGTATGTTGTCACCTAAATAGAAATGTTATGCACAGGTCTATTATAAACTTATCTTGCATTATTTATCAGCTTTTTTATAAATTGTTTCTAATTTATTTAAAATAAAATATAAACATTCAACATTTTTAAGATAAAACAATATTTTTACCACATTGATTTCATTATTAATTTATTTCTTTAAATGTTGCATTAAAATAAACTTCTTATCCTGTTTTAGAAAGAGTCAGTCATTCAATAAGCATGCCTTTGTAATTGTGATGGGGATAAAATAATTATAAGTGTTTTCGCTACTCCTACTCCCAGAACCTAAGGTGATTTTAAGATTTCCTCTCATCTCCTGGTACTTATAGAGTCATGGGGGAATCTGAAAGCAGCTCTGGCAGTGACTCATGTAACAAACTGAACCAGTAGAAAAGAACAGGCATAAATCTGTGTTGGTTAAAATTTGAGGACAAGAGTTTAGAAAACAAGAGAATTAGGAACATAGAAAGGAGAGAGTTGAAGACAGCTATTGAACATACTCTGAAGAAATAGGTGAGTGAAGAATGTTAGGATATTTTTAGAATGCCATGAAATGTGTTGACCCTGATCCTTCTGCATTTCACCCTTCCCTCAACACTTCCTCAGAAGGTATCAGAAAACAAATACGCATTTCAGTTACTTTCATTGAATTTCAGAAGAAATTAAGATGGCTAGTTACTAGGTAGAACAACAACAGATTAAGGTTATTTGGATGCCAAAAATTGGGAAAGCATACTAGGGATGTGATACGAGTGATACAGCATGAAACTGTAGCTTTCTGAGGCTACTTATTTAGTAGTCAAAGGATGAACTTTTTATTTCTCACTTAAATGTTAAAGAAAAAAACAACAAACATTCATAAGAATACTTTTATTTTAAATAAGTATAAGAGATAAAAAATGTCCTGCAAAATTTCTGACTTAATTGTCTGGGTGTGGCGCAAACATTTATTTTTGCAAATGTCACCAGGCAATTCTAGTAAGCATCTTTGAACCACTACTGTGCACCCTGACAGCCTCCATGTCTGGGAGAATTTCTGGTAAAGGTGATGTGATGACAATGATAGTGACTGTTCTGGCTTTTCAAATGGCAGTGGGAGAGGTTTGCCCATTAAAAAAAAATAAATATATGCACTCTAAAACAAATATTGGATCTAATGTTTTTAGTGAGTTTTCATTTGCCTTTTAATTAATTATATTTTACCTGTGTTTTTCTTTTAATTGCAAGGTCTAAACATTCTTTATAGTTTCTGTCTTTAATGGCGTTTTTAATGACATCATCTTCCAAAATTATATAGCTATTCATTTATACGTCTTGTGATGTTTTCAATATACTATCAGTATCTTTCTGTTAATTAGGAGAGGGAAATAGCGCAGAGGAGTGAGTCCCAGTTATCACTGGGTTTTGATATTCCCTATGCTAGTTTCATAAAATTAACTTGTATGCTTTCCAAATATTTATATTTACTAGAGCAGTTTAAAAAAATTTTTTTTTCTTAAAAGAATGAATAAATTCTTTAGTAAGCCAACTGTACTGGCCTTTTGTGCTATGTATTTATAAACATTTTATAAAATTTTGACTCTTATGGTGTTCAAATATTCTGCATTTTCAATAATGAATTTAACTATATTTTTTTCATAAATTTCCATTACATATATATTTTTAAAAGGTTAATTTTTATGCATATTTTTACAACTTCTTAATCCATTCCAAATATAAATTCACAGCTGCTTTTTTACTTTTTTATGTTATATACCCTTACTTTCTTTCTTTTTCTAATTTTCTTTTCAGCAGCTTTTCCATTTTATTGATCTTTTCAAAGAACTAGCTATTTGAATTATCTTCTTTAAAACATTGCATTTTAACCTATATGCAAATTATTACATCCTTAATGTATAACACTTGTGTCTTTATAGCATTTTTAAATTTTATCAAAGTCTTAATAGAGATTATTTTCAAATTTATAAATTTTTGATTAGGTTGTTTTAGTGGGTTTTTTTTGTTTTTTGTTTTTTTTTGTAAATGGAATTTTGTTATGCTGTCCAGGCTTCATTCGAGCTCCTGGGCTCAACCTCTCCTTTCGGCTGGAACTATGAGCATGTGCCACTGTGCCTGGCTCTAGTGTTTTTTGATTGCTTAGTTGTGTGTATGTGTGTTTGTGTTTATGGCAACCTTAAAGATTTTTATTATTACCCAAGTGTGTTTTGAATTTTTATATATTTCAATTTGTGCATATATGAGCATGCATATACAAATGTATTAATTTAATGATTTGACGCAGCATAATTTGAGTTACAATTATATTGTCCCCAAACAATGAAGACCACAAAATTAAAGATCACAATGATGAATTCTTCCTTTTCATATTTGTATTTCTGGAAAATACTTGATATAACATGATTTAATATTTTTCTTGTTTATACTTGTATACATATTATTCTTGCCACCATATCATGCTCTTTCCTTCCGTTCATCAGTCACCACTGTCATTTACCATTTCTTAGTTAACAACATGACACTCACGCCAAACCACTCCACTTAAATCCAGTACTCACAACTATTTTGTTATATAAAACATTTGTGTGTTTATAAATGCACCCCCAAAACCACAGTTAAAACCAGTAAGCGGCTTTCTGTGCATAGTTTTTGAATGCTGGGAACATAGAAAATGTATAGTTCAGTCTTTGCTTTGAAATTGAGAATGCTCAGAGTCAGAGATTTTGATTTACCCACTTAATATTACACAGCTGGATGGTCATCAGACAAGAATAAACTCTCATTTTCAGATATTTAGCCTGTCATGAAGAATTATAGATGAATAAATAAATTATATATGTATATATTTGGTAGCATGTAAAATTGAGATATTCCACAGAGTTCCCAGGGATATCGTATTAGTGCTAAAGAACAAACTAGAAATAAAACTTCAAGTAAAATAGTGACCTTTTTTATACTAAAGTGCTATGATTATTATGTTTCTAATCAAATTCAATTCAAATTGTCCTCAGATTCTTTTTTGCCTGCTGTCATCTTGCAATTACGTTGCCTTTTTTTTTTCTGTGTTTAGTCTCTTTGAATGCAAGTTTTATCTAATTAATACTTTTATTGTCCAATCAGAACACTCTTAACATTTTGGTATTTCATCAATAAAATGTCACAGCTCTATCTTGGAGGTTCAAGTCTTTAACTTCTAACAATGGGAGACTCAATTGTGAACTTAGTTTCTCTAAGTACAAAGGTTTTAAGTAAGACCATGTCAATGAATATATTAGAAGATACACATGCATGCACATGTATGTATGCATGCATATATGTATATGTATGCATATGCTATGCTAAAAACATAAGATGTTTAAATGTTAGCTGTGTCTGTGCACATATTTAAAATTAAGATGAAGGTGATATAAAAAAATACATCAGATACTTGTTAAAAATGGCAAAGAAAACTTTATTCAAGACTATTGTAATAGCAGAGAAAGACTACCCTGTAACAAAAGATGAAAAAAAAAAAAGTCAACACTTTGGTGACCTAATAAAAGGTGCCATAAGATGTTATAGGGAGGTTGGCCAATATGATTAGTCCACCTGTGTTTGCTAATCGGTGCTTATCAAAGAAAAGTTTCTATACTCCCACAGAAAGGAGGAGAAGGGGTTCCTGTCTTTCTTAAAGAGGACATTTCAAAGGAATGGCTCCAGGGTCCTTGAGAAAAGACATTCCTGGAATGTGAAGATTTACATCTCAAAGGGAAATAATTTATAATTGCAAGTTTTCTATTGTAGATGCACCAAGAAAAGGGAAGTTAGAGGTCCATTTTCAGGAAGAAGACTGTCTAAAGTTTAGTCCAGAGGAGGGGAAAGTTAAGGCCTTTTTGGTCAACTAATCTATTCATTAAATAACCTCTTATTGCTTTATCAGAAGAGCCAGCATAAAATATATTTGATCACACTTTCTGTTATTTAGTATTTAATTGGATACTTCTAAGTCTCTCTGTCTCTCTCCCCTTTTGGTGTTTATGCTTGCTTTTCAGACTTATCATGGAAAGGAGAGAAGGAGAGATCTTTTTATAACCAGGGAGGCTTCATAGTGTAGAATGTTTAAAAGGAGAAGGAAGTGTGAAGACAAGTTCCACATTAATTTTTCAACGCATTAAATGTCAGTTGTATTAATTTATATTTTCTTGAACATTGAAATAGGTTTTCATTAACACTGCACATGAAGTTTAGAATGGTCTATTCATATAATTTCCAGTATTACTATCAGAGTTTTTAGCAATATGGCAAACCATAACTTTCTTTAGTACAGTAGTCTCACCTTAATGATCAGAGAATACGTTCTAAGACCCCCAGCAGATATCTAAAAACTGTGGCTAATATCAAACCCTCCATATACTGTTTTCTTTTTTCTTTTTCTTTTTTCTTTTTTGATCCAGTAACAGAGAGGGTTACTAAGTGAGTAACAGGTGGGCAGCATGTGCAGCATGGATCTCCTGGACAATGGGATGATTCACATCCTGGGTGAAACTGAGCAAGATGCTGAGAGATTTCATCATGCTACTCAAAACAGCATGCAATTTAAAGTTTAGGAATTGTTTATTTCTGGAGTTTTTCATTTAATATTTTTAGACTGTGGTTGACTGTGGGTAACTTAAACTGCTACAAGTGAAACCACGAATAAGTGGTGGACTTTTGAGGAGTCTCAGTCACATGACTCGTTTTTCACGACATGTCTCCAAGCACCAAAATAAGCTTGTAAAGTCACATTCTCTAGCTTTCCAAAAACTGTGCAGATACACAATTTGCTAGGCAATAATAGACTCTCTCTCCAAATTGCTAAAGTTATTTACAATTGAAAATCTGACACAAATACAGATTAAGGAGAAACTAACAGAATTCAATTTCACAAAATAATTTATTTCTTGATTCTCAGCCAGTTAGTAGTCATGTAAAACCTATCTATGATAAGAAAACAGGATTGAATAGGGCTATAACCAGGAAGGTTAAACTTGGATAATTGCACAATTGCATTAAAACCATCTATCAAGTCTAAATGCCTACCATTATTTTGGTGGATTCTGATTTCTTTTTTAATTCATCATTTTCAAATGCAAAATAATTGTAGGATTCCAAACTTTTGAATTTAGAAAATGTCAAAAGAAACTAAAATGCTTTGTATAATGTTAATAGGTGATTTCTTTCCAAATTATGTGGTGATTTGTTTCTTTAACTTAGTTCAGAACACTTTTGATAACTAACTAAATTCCCTTAAAACAAAAGCTTAAAACAAAAGAATGAACTTCTTTTATTCATTAGATTATCTTGATGGTTCTTGGTAGATAAAATTTATTTTACCTACGGGAACCCTTTCTCACAGTTTGCCTGGCAAAGCTCTACTTTTTCCCTAGTTTACTGACATGATTATTACTAGTGTCTCTTTCACATTCAAATGTGTACCAGCTTGGATGATAAATTATGTAATCACTAGATTACAAATCCTATTAGTCAGTATTCTACAGAGAAATAGAACTAGAGGGATGGATAGATAGGTAGATAGATAGATGTATAGATAGATAGAGATAGAGATATATAGAGAATTAGAGTTTTATTTCAAGGAATTGGCTTTTGCAATGATTGTATGGGGCTAACAAATTTGAAATCTGTAGAAACTTCAGGCTGCAAACTCTGGAGAAAGACGTGATACTGTATTCTTTAGGAATAATTTCTTCTTTCTCAGATAAATGTTTTGCTTTTAAGACCATTCAACTGATTGGATAAAGATCACCCTCATCATCAAAAATAATATTTAATTGAAGTCAACTGATTATAGATGTGAATTACATCCACAAATGCCTTCATGACAACACTTTGAGTAAGTGTTTAATTGAATAGCTGGGTACAGTAGCCTAACCAAATTGACACATAAAACTAACCATCACATTAATCAATACAAAAAGTAGGAAAATTTTTCACTAGGTTATTAGCAAAGGGGAAAGATGTTTAGGTTCACTTAATTGACTTATGTAATTAACCAAAATCTTTCTATCCCTCTATAAAGCATACTAATTGATGCCCATAGCACACTTAACAGTCACAGTTAAAAGTTTATTCTCTTGCCCTCAAACTTCTGCTCTTATCAGTTGAATGATATGTATACCATAAATCAGTTGTGTTTCACCCAAATTATGTATTTATCCCTTTAGCTCAAATGTTAGCAATTTTCAGTGCATAAATTTGGCTCTTACCACATGTCCATTCAGCATATATTCATATTTCAAACTGGCTATATTTTGATATCATTGAAACAGATGCCTTACTTACAATGTTATGGAATGGGATGAAATCACCTTTGCAAAAATTATAACAGAGATAATTGTGACAGTGAAAGAGATGTGACCTGACACCATCTTGCTTTAAACCTCCAAACTGTTCTTGTTCATTCCTGGGCATAGACCAAACTAACTTTGGAGGAACTTCGTTTATAGTTTAAGTTTGAAACAAAGATGATAACAGCTCCTTCCGAAAATAAACTCCATTTCTGCTTGGGGACTAGACTGCCTTTGCAGGACTCACAAATTAGCTACAAGATTGAAATTATGGTTTAGAAGTCATGCAGCTGGAGGCTGGAAGATTCTAAATCTCCCAAATTGCTCCTGAGGGATAACATCACCATTGTAAAACTTAAGATCAGTCCTTAAGATATTTTGCAGACCCTGCACTGCATGGATCAGCTGGCACCATCCAGATTGATAAACAGCCTCCCAGGAACTGGCTCAGCAGAAGAGAACAGCTTCAACTCCCTGTGATGTAATCTTTGACCTGACCAATCAGCACTTCCTACTTTCTGACCCCCCACCCACCAAATTATCCCTAAAAACCCTATCTTTGAGTTTTCAAGGAGACTGATTTATTATTTTGAGTAATAACACAACTCTGGTCTCCTGTACAGCCAGCTCTGCCTAAATTAAACTCTTTCTCTACTGCAATTCCCTTGTCTTAATAAATTGGCTCTGTCTAGGCATCAGGCAAGGAGAACCTTTTGGGCACTTACAGGGATAGATAATTTACATTGCATGCCCATGCAAAATTGAAGATCCATTAGTGTTTCACCCCATGCAGGCTGCTTTAACAAAAATACCACTAACTTCGTGGCTTATAAAACACAAACATTTGTTTCTCACAGTTCTGGAAGCTAAGAAGTCCAAGATCATGGTGCTGATGGATTTGGCGTCTGGTGAGGGCCCATTTTCTAATTCATAGATGGTACCTTCTCACTGTGTCCTCATGTAACAGAAAAAAATGAGCAATCTCTCTGGGGTTTCCGAAGACATTAGTGTGAAAGTTCCACCCTCATGACCTAATCACCTCCCAAAGGTTCTAGCTCCCAATACATCACCTTAGGGGTTAGAATTTTAATACATAAATTTTAGGGGGACACAAAGATTTGGACAATAGCAATTACATGTTTCTCTTCCTTGTCCAGAGTTACTTCATCTTTCTTACCCCATTTACCCTACAGAGTTTTGAACTTTCTCCCCATAGCATAATCTTCCAGAAATATTTGTTTCTGATTTATAAGTTGCCTGTATCTTTTTAGGAAAATAAAATGTCACTAGGTATCCTCCCTCTAAACATACCTCTCTCTAGAAAAACAGCTCAGCTCAGTGTGTATTTATAACTACTCCAATAAATCCCCATGTTTCATAATTCAATTACTTACCATATTCACTAAAAAAAAAAAAAAAAAAAAAGAACTTTTTTTTGCAGAGCTAGAAAAATTCCTGTCAAGGAAATAAGATTTTCTTCTTATAGTTATGGGCATACTACTTTTTTCATAGAAATATTGTTGAGTTCTAGAGATAATATATGCAAAATACCTATTTCAATGATTGGTACATAATAGTTGCTCAAGAGAAATACTATTATTGACTTCAACATGTTGCATTCGTGGCGAGCTTTTACTTTTTTTAGAATGTGTACTTGAAAATAACATGTATTTTATAAATCCAATAGGACCTGAAACAAAATTTTACATTAGATGTTTAATTCAATTCTCTGTGCTTTGTTCTGTACTACTTTTTATCTCAACACATCTTTTTTAACAAAAGATGAAATAATGTATTAAAATGTCATATTTGCTCAAATATCCATTTCAATTTTTTAATGTCATATTCTATGTTTTTACCTTTTCAAGGGTAAGACTTTCTTCTAGCCTTTTATGTTACAAACATTTTGAAACATACAAAAATTTCAAAGGATAGCATGAGCATCTATGTACTAAAAACCTTGATTTTTTTCCATTTGACAATAAATTCACACATCATGACACTTCACACCATAATACTCCGTGTATTTCTTCTAAGAATAAGACCATGCTTTACATACTCACAATTCTGCTTTACTCCTAAAAAATTACTAGTATTTTCCAACCTCATGTAACTTAGAATGTATATTTCCCAAATTTCCCTTAAAATACTTTTTATATTTTATCACCTGATGAAGCATTAGAATTTGAAAATGCTGGAACTGACCATATAAATAGGGTTGAGTTTTTCATGTAGAGTTTTTTATGTTGCCATATTTAAACTGATAATACAAAACCAGTATTTCAATATATCAATCTCCAATAAGAGGTATGATAGTGTTTCAGCTACTTGCAACCATTTGCTAATTTTGTTTGATAAATTTAGAATTCAAACAAGGCAGTTAGTTATTTAATCAGTACTTAAAAATAAGCAACTCTATGCAGAACAAGTGCCAAATAGTATGAGTATGAGACTGGTTGACTCCAAAGCCAGAAATATTTCTTGCCCTTAGAATTGTCCCTGCACGGGTCTTCCTTCTTAATAACTTGAAGGATTCCACTTTGTTTTATCCCAACTACCACTATCTTAGTTTAATCTTTGTTTTTATTTGACTTATAATTCTGGTTCTATTGTTATATGACAATAACCCCCTGCCCTCAAAACAGTGGCTTAAAATAATATCATCATGTCTTTTGCTCACAAATCTGAAGATACAGGTCTTAGCTAGGCAATTCTTTCTTGGGGTCTCATTTAGTTTTAGTCAGATGGTGGCTGATGTTTTTTTCAAAGGCTTCCTGACTTGCACTTCTGGTGACTGGGCCGGGAAAATTCAAATAACTGAGGATCTTTGATCATCTCTTTCTTTTTCTTTGTGGGCACACTTTGGGTCTCTTGACATGGTGGCTGTAGGCTAGCCAGACTTGTTCAATGTGTCCTATTTTATAGAGAAAGCACATGAGAAAACAGCTCTCCATTTGTGTCATCAGAGGAGTAGCACACTTCTCAGGAGAGCAGTAACTCTTTTCAGCTCCTGTATTCTCTGTCCCTGGAATAATCAGTTTGGAGGAAGGGAAAGCATGAGTGAGACAGAATTTTTGTCATCCAGACATTCCCTTGTGTTGCCCCCGAGGGACAAAATCAAAGTTTCTTAGAATATAAGGAAGATAGGAGATCAGGCACTTATACTAATTTTACATCCAGCTTCTTAAGTAGTTTCACCCATGCATCTTTCTTTGAATTCATAGCTCACACGGAATTGCACGAACAGAGCACAAACAGACCAAGGAAAACAACTATTCCATCTGCATCAGTCAGACACATCTGTGAGCACATGATTTTAGGAATGTATCTCAGTTTGGATTATAATGTTAGTTAAAAAAAAAAAAAAAACAGAATAAGTGTATCCTACTGAAAGGCTTGCACTACTGGAGAGACTGGCCCTGTCCTCATCAGCAACCACTGTAACCCCCCCCAAACTCTCCCAGTCTTCTGTAGTGTCAGGCCACCTCAAGCAAGATTGGGTTTCATTTTTTTTCTCTTTTTTTTTCCAGCTTTATTGAGATATAATTGGCAAAAGTTGTATATATTTATGATGTATCACATAAAATGATATACAGCTATACACATTGTGAAATAAATCAAGCTAATTAACATATCCATCACCTCACATACTTACCATTTTTTATGTGGTAAGACTACTTAAAATCTCTTCTCAGTAATTTTCAAGTATGTAATAGATTAACTATAGTCATAACACTATACAGTAGATCTCCAGAATTTATTCATCCTATGTAATTGAAACTGTGCCTTTTGACCAACATCTCCCGATTTCCCCACAATACCTAGCCTCTGCAAACTACCATTCTACTCTATGCTTCTAGGAGTTCAACTTTTTTTTAGATTCCACGTATGAGTGACATCATGGAGTACATTTCATCCTAAGCCTGGCTTATTTCACTTAGCATAATGCTCTCCAAGTCCATCCATGTTTTTGCAAGTGACAGAACTTCCTTCTTAAAATAGTTTTTAACTTACAAAGCTTACAAGTAGAAGGCCAAGGTATTTTCACAAGGGATGTGCAAACTACTCTTTACAAGAAGGTGAAAGTCTTCCAAGGAGGATATGAAGAAAAGATGGCACAAAAGGGCCAAAGTCTTCCTCTTTTATAGCAGACTTTAATTTTCACACCACTGCTTCAAAGGAGTAGCGTGGATCACTTCAGTGTCTTAGCCACTCCTCCCAAGTACTTGGGCATCACCTACAAACAAGCTCCTGCTAGAAAGCTATGTGGAGAAGTGACAAGAGCAAAATCTCCAGTCAGATGTTGCAAGAATTAAAAACAGTTTACAGTTAGAATTGAAGATTTATCTGCATAAGGTAGTAGTAGTGAGAATTTTGGATGTTAATTCTCCCACTATTTATGTTCCTGAGTTTCATTACATTGAAACCTCTTCAACTGAGTTGAAAAATAGTGAGAAAAGTGGTACCTACCACAGAGGGCTGTAAAGTCCATGAAATGAGATAATCTATAAGTTATTTTAGCTCAGTGCCTGACATACAATAATGCTCAATATATATTTACTATTTCATTATTATTACAGGGTGACTTTTAGAAATACAATCTTTTTCAACAATAAATATAATGGTGAATGCTAAAATCAGAAATTTAGCACCCATTAGAGCTTAAAGGCGTAGAAATGGTACAGTGATACCAATAAAATGGTCGAGTTAGATATTCAAGGGTAGGTTTAAAGAGAAACAAGATGCATTTAATGGAAATGAAGGAATTAATAAGAGCTGATCACTTATTAATCTAAGTGATCTAAGAGCTGATCTACTTTTAACGTAAGCTCATCCTAAGTTTTGACAACTGTGACAGGCAATTCTTTGATAAAAAGATTGGAAACTACCGAATGTGGAGCTTGCCTCCCCATACCCCCCATCTCTTTTCTCTTTTTTTTTCTTTTCTTTTTTCAAATGGAGTCTTGCTCTGTCGCCTAGGCTGGAGTGAGGTGGCATTATCTCGGCTCCCTGCAACCTCCGCCTCCCTGGTTCAAACGATTCTCCTGTCTCAGCCTCCCGAGTAACTGGGGTTACAGGTGCTCGCCACCATGCCTGGCTAATTTTTACATTTTTAGTAGAAATGGGCTTTCACCATATTGGTCAGGCTGGTCTTGAACTCCTGACCTCAGGTGATCCTGTTGGGACTACAGGCATGAGCCACCATGCCCCACCACCTCCTATCTGTATATCCATCTTTACCCTTTGCTTTACAGCTCAGGTTATGTGTTCTATTTTCACAGCTTATTAAACTCCCCAGAAACTGTCTCAGTAAGGCAAATTGTTTTAATTTATCCAAAAAAAAAAACAAGGGAAAACAGAAAAAAAGTTTGTTTTTGTCGTCTTTGTAAGTATTTTCTTTGGTTCATAACCAGAACACGCAGGACAGCTTCTGACCATAATGCGTGATCTGACATTCATTCGTACACTGATATACTCTAGCAGAGAAAGACAGAAAAAAATGAGGCCAGGTTCTGCAAATGATTCAGTCACAAAAAGAAGAGAAATGTAGCTTTTAATGCACAAAGTTTATAAGTGGAATGGATCTTTTTCACAAAACTCATCTACTGAATAATAATGTGTTGGTATTATAAAAATGAATCATAGTTTTATAAATGTCATCTAATCTTACAGATAGAGCCTAGAAAGATTTTAAGCCCTTTGACTTGCTGTTTGATAATCCAAAATTAATTGTGATGATTATCACTAAAAATAATCATTCACACATATTTTGATATCTTATATGTACAGTAGACACTAAAACTACTCCCTCTTGTTCTCCCAGTTTCTCAGGTCATTAAGCAATACTAGTCTCTATCATTAAACTTGAACACAATCAAAGTTAACATTGGAATTTAGTTTGCTCACCCCTTCTTTCCCATGCATGGCTTAACCAAAGCCCACTTTTATTGCAAGCCTAAAATCAAAATTGGCGATTATTAGATTAAGACAATCTATAGTTTGCCTTGTGAGATTTGCCAACTTCCAAATCCCATACTTTTTCTTTGACTTCCATTAATCTATGCATGATGGTCCTAGCCCTTGAGATAGTCTTTTCTAGGCCGAGCGCAGTGGCTCATGCCTGTAATCCCAGCAATTTGGGAGGCTGAGGCGGGTGTTTCACCTGAGGTCAGGAGTTTAAGACCAGCCTGGCCAAAATGGTGAAACCCTGTCTCTACTAAAACTACAAAACTTAGCCAGGTATGGTGGTGCACACCTGTAATCTCAGCTACTTGGGAGGCTGAGGCAAGAGAATCACATGCACCCAGGAGGCAGAGGTTGCAGTGAGCTTAGATCACACCACTGCACTCAAGCCTATGAGACAGAGCGAGACTCTGTCCCCCCACCCTGCCCACCCCCCCCCAAAAAAAGATGGCCTTTTCTTTCATTGAGACAGCAATGAAAAAACTTATATAAGTAAATAACATACAGCTTTTTCTGCAATATCTTCCAATTTGATAGTTCTTCGAATTCTACAGAAAACATAGAGCCATTACTATCTCAGGCAGACAGTGCAGTCAGATCAAATGCTTGTGTTGCACTTTGAATTTCAAGGGAATACAATATATGTTATCACTTCTTTAAAACACAGTGTTTTAGAATCCCTTAAAAATCTTTCTACCACATAATCCAAACGAGTGTCATCTCTAACTTTTATTTTCTGAAGTTTAGTTTTTCCTTACAATTGTCTTTGATGAAACAACCTGTCTACTTGACAACCTTGGTGGAAAAAGAGAAAATAGATAAAATAAGAACTAACATACTATCATTTGTAACAACGTGGATAGAAAAGGAGTTCATTATGTTAAATGAAATAAGCCAGGCACAAAAAGGCAAATATTGCATAGGTTCACTCACATGTGGGGGCTAAAAAAGTGTATCTCATAGAGAGTAGAATGGTGGTTGCCAGAGTCTGGGAAGTGTAGCGGGGAGAAGGAATAAAGAGAAGTTGGTTAATGGGTATAAAATTACAGTTTGTACTTACTCAAAGAGTAAGTTTTACTGTTCAATAGTACAGTAGGATGACTATAATTAACAATAATTTATTGTATAATTTAAAATAGAAGAAAATTAGAATGTTTTCAACAGAAAGAAAAGATAAATGAGGTGACAGAAATCCCAATTACCCCGATTTGATTGCTATGCATATATGTATATATATATCTCACAAATACCCTCCAAAATATGTACAACTTTTATGTACCAATTAAAACAAGAAAACAAAAACTTCAAAAGCAAAAGAATTATACGGATACTTACAATTATTAGAATATTTACTGATTCACTGTTGAGAATGAGGTATTTATTTGGCTTGCTTGTATTTATTAAAAAGTAATAGCATATATATAGAAAATAGCACAATTCAGAATTTATGTTGCTTATTATGAACACTGAAATAAAATAATTACTACCAAAATACACGAGTAGAATTGCAATATTACTTTACCATTTATACAGCCTATTTGAATTATGCATAATTTTACTTGGTTGTACGTTAAATCTATCACAAAGAAAGCAAAAAAAAAAAAGAAAGAAAAAGAAACAATGAAAAGAGCTAATAATGGCAAAGAGTAGAAAGGAGGAAAACCAATTGACTAGTATGGAATTTAGGATTTGATAGCTTAGAGTAAGACCTTCCAATGTTAATGAAGTCAGATAATATTTATAATTCAAACCACAACTATAAACCATGGTTCTCATACTTCCTAGGAGCTTCAGCAATCATCATCAACAAGATATAAGAAACAGACTAAAATTATAACTTAACAAGGTTAAGATGTATTTAGATGTGTTTTCTTCTAAAAAGATTCTTTAGGAAATGGTGAAACAGAACTTAGGAAGGTATAGAAAGGCTATGAAGGAGAAAAGAGAAGTTGGTTAGTGTAAATCTGCATTCCACACAAACTACCTTCTACTTAGGCACTGTGGTGTCTCCCCTTTAATGAAGTTTCTGGAGTTCTACTTGCTTTTTACCTGAATACTTTGCCACTATATTTAATTTTCTAATTCATCCTATGTTATTTCAATATTTTGTGCTTTTATTTTTAAATTTCTTGTGGGTACCTGGTAGGTGTGTATATTTAGGGGGTACATGAAATATTTTGATACAGGCATGCAATGTAGTATAAGCACATCATGGAAAATGGAGTATCTATCTTCTTAAGCATTTATCCTTTGAGTTAAAAACCAATTACAGTCTTTATTTCATAATGTACAATTAAGTTATTATTGACTATAGTTGCCCTGTTATGCTATTAAATAGTATGTCTTGCTCATTCTTTCTAACTGTTTTTTTTTTTTTTTTACCCATTAACTAAACCGACCTCCTCTGCAGCCTTCCACTACCCTTCTCAGCTTCTGGTAACCATCCTTCTACACTCTGTGGCCATTAGTTCAATTGTTTTGGATTTTAGGTTTCACAAATAAGTGAGAACATGTGATGTTTGTCCTCCCATGCCTGGCTTATTTCACTTAACATAATAATCTCCAGTTCCATTCATGTTGTTGCAAATGACAGGGTGTCCTTTTTTTACGGCTGAATAGTACTCCAATGCATACATGTACCACATTTTCTTTATCCATTCAGCTGTTGATGGACACTTATGTGGCTTCCAAATCTTAGCTATTGTGAACAGTGCTTCAACAAACACAGGGGTGCAGGTATCTTTTTGATATACTGACAGATATACTGATATATCCAGCAGTGGGGATTGCTGAATCATATGGTAGTTTTTAGTTTTTTGAGGAACCTCCAAGCTGTCCTCCATAGTGGTTGTACTAATTTACATTTCCACCAACAGTGTACCAGGGCTCCCTTTTCTCCACAACCTTGCCAGGATTTATTATTGCCTTTTTTTTTTTTTTTGATAGAAGCCATTTAAACGAGTGAGATCATATCTCATTGTAGTTTTGTTTTTCCCTCATGACCATAGATGCTGAATACCTTTTCATATGCCTGTTGGCCATCTGTATGTCCTCTTTTGAGAAATGTCTGTTTAAATCTTTTGTACATATTTTGATCGGATTATTAGATTTATTCCTATAGACTTGTTTGTGCTCCTTATATATTTTGGTTATGAATCCTTTGTCAGATTCATAGTTTACAAATACTTTCTCCCATTCTGTGGGTTGTCTCTTCACTTTGTTGGTTATATCCTTTGCTGTGCAGAAGGTTTTTCACTTGATGGGATTCCATTTGTCCATTTTTTGCTTTGGTTGCATGTGCTTGTGGGGTATCGCTCAAGAAATTTTTGCCCAGACCAATGTCCTGGAGATTTTCCCCAATATTTTCTTGTAGTAGTTTCACAGTTTGAGGTCTTAATTATAAATCTATAATCCGTTTTGATTTGATTTTGTATATGGCAAGAGATAAGGGTCTAGTTTCATTTTTTTTTTTTTTTGCATATAGATATCTTGTTTTCCTAGCACCATTATTGAGAGACTGTCTTTTTTCCAGTGTATGTTCTTGGCACCCTTGTTAAAAGTGAGTTTACTGGGTGTGGATTTGTTTCTTTGTTCTCTATTGTCTTACATTGGTCTGTGTGTCTGTTTTTATGAAAGTACACTGTATTTTGGTTACTACAGCTGTGTAGTATAATTTGAAGTCAAATAATGTAATTCTTCCAGTTTTGTTCTTGTTGCTTAGGATAGCTTTGGTTATTCTGGGCCTTTCGTGGTTGCATATAAATTTTAGAGTTTTTTTTTTTTCTGTTTCTGTTAATAATGTCATTGGTATTTTGATAGGGATTTCACTGAATTTGTAGATTGCTTTGGATAGTATGGACATTTTAAAAATATTGATTCTTCCAATCCATGAAATCGGAAGCTCTTTCCATTTTTTTGGTGTCTTCTTCAATTTCCGTAATTACTGTTTTGTAGTTGTCATTATAGGGGCCTTTTGCTTTTTTCATTATGTTAATTCTTACATATTTAATTGTGGCTATTGTAAATGGGATTTTTATTTCTTTTACAGATTGTTCACTGTTGGCATACAGAAATGCTACTAATTTTTGTATGTTAATCTTGTATCCTGCAACTTTTTTGACTTTGTTCATCAGTTCCAATAGTTGTTTGTGGAGTCTTTAGGTTTTTCCAAATATAAGATTATAACAGCTGAAAACAAGGATAATTTGACGTCTTCCTTTCCAATTTGGATGCCCTTTATGTCCTTCTCTTTTCTGATTGCTCTAGCTAGGACTTGCAGTACTATGTCAAATAACAGTGGTGAGAGTGGGCATCCCCGTCATGTTCTAAATCTCAGAGGAAAGGCTTTCAGTTTTTCCCATTTGGTAAGATACTAGCTGTGGGTCTACCATACATGGCTTTTATTATGCTGAAGGCATTCCTTCTATCCTCTGTTCTATGGGTGTTTTTATTATGAAGTGATGTTAGATTTTATCAAATGCTATTTCAACATCAGTTGAAATGATCATATGTTTTTCATCCTTCATTCTGTTCATATGAAGTATCACATTGATTGATTATTGAACCATCAATATCTTACATATATTGAGCCATCCTTGCATCCTGAGGATAAACCCCAATTGGTCATTATGAATGATCTTTCCAATGCATTGTTCAACTCGGTTTGCTAGCATTTTGTTGAGGATTTTTATATCAATATTTATCAGAGATATTGACCTGTAGTTTTCTTTTTTGGATGTATCTTATGCTGGGTTTCATATCAGAGTAACTGGCCTTGTAGAATTAGATTAGAAGTATTCCCTCCTCCTTTAGTTTTCAGAATAGTTTGAGTAGGACTGGTGTTACTTCTTAAATGTTTGGTAAAATTCATCAGTGAAGCCACGGGGTCCCAGGCTTTTCTTTACTGGGAGAATTTTTATTATGGCTTCTATCTCATTTCTTGTTGTTGGTCTGTTCAGGTTTTGTATTTCTTCCTGGGTTAATTTGTATGTGTCTAGGAATTTTTCCATTTCTTCTAGATTTTTCCAATTTATTGGCATATAGCTGCTCAGAGTAGCCACTAATGATCCTTTGGATTACTGCAATATCAGTTGTAATATCTCCTTTTTCATTCCTGATTTTATTTATGTGGATCTTCCTTCTTTTTTAAAAAATATCTGGCTAAAGGTTTGTACAGAATTTTTATTAACTTTTCAAAAAAAAAACTTTTTGTTTTATTGACCTTTTGTATTTTATTTCAATTTCATTTATTTCTTTTCTGATCTTTATTATTTATTTTCTTCTACTAATTTTTAGTTCAGTTTGCTCCTGCTTTTCTAGTTCTTTAAGATGGATCATTAGATTGTTTAAAGTTTTCCTATTTATTTTTTATGTAGGCAGTTATAGCTATAAAAGTCCCTCTTAGTACTGCTTTTGCTGTATTCCGTAAGTTTGATATGTTGTGGTTCCATCATTATTTGTTTCTACAAATTTTCAACTTTCTTCTCAAATTCTACACTGACCCACTGGTCATTCAGGAGCATAGGGTTTAATTTCCATGTATTTATATAGTTTTCATAATTCTTTCTTATTATTTTCTAGTTTTATTCCATTGTGGTCAGAGAAGAAGCTTGATATAACTTCAATTTTCAAAAATGATTTATGACTTGTTTTGTGACCTAACATGTGGTATATCCTTGAGAATGTTCCACATGCTGAGGAAAAAAAAAAGCGTATTCTGCAACCACTGTATGAAATGTTCTGCAAATACATATTATATCCATTTGTTCAATAGTGCAGATTAAGTCCAATGTGTCTTTGTTGATTTTCTGCTTGGAAGATGTGTCCAGTGCTGAAAGTGGGATTTTGAAGTTGCCAGTTATTTTTGTATTGGGGCCGATCTCTCTCTCTCTCTTTTATTATCATTATTATTATTATTATTATTACACTTTAAGTTCTGGAATGCATGTGCAGAACATGAAGGTTTGTTACATAGGTATACACGTGCCATGGTGGTTTGCTGTACTCATCAAACCGTCATCCACATTAGGTATTTCTCCTAATGCTATCCTTTCCCTAGCCCCTCACCTCCCAACAGGCCCCAGTGTGTGATGTTCCCCTCCCTGTGTCCATCTGTTCTCATTGTTCAACTCCAACCCATGAGTGAGAACATGCAGTGTTTGGTTTTCTGCTCCTCTGTTAGTTTGCTGAGAATGATGGTTTACAGCTTCATCCATGTCCCTGCAAAGGACATGAACTCATCCTTTTTCAAGTATTCATAGTATTCCATGGTGTATATGTGCCACATTTTCTTTATCCAGTCTATCATTGATATGCATTTGGGTTGGTTCCAAGTCTTCACTAATGTGAACAGTGCTGCAATAAACATACTTGTGCATGGCTATTTATAGTAGAAAGATTTATAATCCTTTGGGTATGTACCCAGTAATGGGATTGCTGAGTCAAATGGCATTTCTGGTTCTAGATTCTTGAAGAATTGCCACACTGTCTTCCACAATAATTGAACTAATTTACAGTCCCACCAACAGTGTAAAAGCATTCCTATTTCTCCACATCCTCTCCAGCATCTGTGGTTTCCTGACATTTTAGTGATCACCATTATAACTGGCATGAGATGGTATCTCAATTGTGGTTTTGATTTGCATTTCTCTAATGACCAGTAATGATGAGTTTTTATTTAATATGTTTGTTGGCCACATAAATGTCTTCTTTTGAGAAGTGTATATTCATATCCTTCGCCCACTTTTGGATGGGGTTGTTTTTTTCTTGTAAATTTGTTTAAGCTCCTTGTAGATTCTGGATATTAGCCCTTTGACAGATGGATAGATTGCAAACATTTTCTCCCATTCTGTAGGTTGCCTGTTCACTCTGATAGGTTTTTTTTTGCTGTGCAGAAGCTCTTTAGTTTCATTAGATCCCATTTGCCAATTTTGGCTTTTGCTGTCACTGCTTTGGTGTGTTACTCATGAAGTCTTTGCCCATGCCTATATCCTGAATGGTACTGACCTAGGTTTTCCTCTAAGGTTTTTATGGTTTTAAATGTTACATTTAAGTCTTTAATCTATCTTGAGTTAATTTTTGTATAAAGTGTAAGGAAAGGGTCTGGTTTCAGTTTTCTGCATCTGGCTAGCCAGTTTTCACAACACCATTTATTAAACAGGGAATCCTTTCCCCATTTCTTGTTTTTGTCAGGTTTGTCAAAGATCAGACGTTTTTAGATATGTGGTGTCATTTCTGAGGCCTCTGTTCTGTTCCATTGGTCTATATATCTGTTTTGGTACCAGTACCACGCTGTATTGGTTACTGTATCCTTGTAGTATTAGTTTGAAGTCAGTTAGCATGATGCCTCCAGCTGTGTTCTTTTTGCTTAGGATTTTCTTGGCTATATGGGCTCTTTTTTAGTTCCATATGAAATTTAAAGTAGTTTTTTTATAATTCTGTGAAGAAAGTCAATGGGAGTTTGATGGGGATAGCACTGAATCTATAAATTACTTTGGGCAGTATGGCCATTTTCACGATAGTGATTCTTCCTATCCGTGAGCATAGAATGTTTTTCTATTTGTGTTCTCTCCTATTTCCTTGAGCAGTGATTTGTAGTTCACCTTGAAGAGGTCCTGCACATCCCTTGTTAGCTGTACTCCTGGGTATTTTAACCTCTTTGTGGCTATTGTGAATGGGAGTTCACTCGTGATTTGGCTCTCTGTCTATTGTTCATGTATAGGAATGCTTCTGATTTTTGCACATTGATTTTGTATCCTGAGACTTTGCTGAAGTTGGTAATCAGCTTAAAGAGATTTGGGGCTGAGATGATGAGGTATTCTATACAATCATGTCATCTGCAAATAGAGACAATTTGACTTCCTCTCTTCCTATTTGAATACCCTTTATTTCTTTCTCTTGCCTGATTGCCCTGGCTAGAACTTCCAACACTATGTTGAATAGGAGTGGTGAGAGAGGGCATCCTTGTCTTGTGCTGGTTCTCAAAGGGAATGCTTCCAGCTTTTGCCCATTCAGTATAATATTGGCTGTGGGATTTTCATAATTAACTCTTACTATTTTGAGATACATTCCATCAATACCTAGTTTACTGAAAGTTTTTATCATGAAGGGGTGTTGGATTTTATTTAAGGCCTATTCTGCATCTGTTGAAATAATCATGTGATTTCTGTCATTCGTTCTATTTATGTGATGGAATATGTTTATTGATTTGCATATGTTGAACAGCCTTGCATGCCAGAGATGAAGCCGTCTTGGTCATAGTGGATAAGCTTTTTGATGTGCTGCTGGATTCGGTTTGCCAGTATTTTATTGGGGATTTTCACATCAAAGTTCATCAGGGATAGTGGCCTGAAATTTTCTTTTTTGTGTGTGTCTATGCAAGGTTTTGGTATCAGGATGATGATGGTGGCTTCATAAAATGAGTTAGGGAGGTGTCCCTCTTTTTCTATTGTTTGGGATACTTTCAGAAGGAATGGTAACAGCTCCTCTTTGTACCTCTGGTAGAATTTGGCTGTGAATCCATCTGGTCCTGGGCTTTGTTTTTTGGTTGGTAGGCTATTAATTACTGCCTCGATTTCAGAACTTGTTATTGGTCTATTTAGGGATTTAACTTCTTCCTGGTTTAGTCTTGAGAGGGTGTATGTGTCCAGGAATTTATCCATTTCTCCTGGATTTTCTAACTTATTTGCATAGAGGTGTTTATAGTATTCTCTTACAGTAGTTTGTATTTCTCTGAGATCAGTGGTGATATTAACTTTTATCACTTTTTACTGTCTATTTGATTCTTCTCTCTTTTCTTCTTCATTAGTCTGGCTAGCAGTCTATCTATTTTGTTGATCTTTTCAAAAAACCAGCTCCTGGATTCATTGATTTTGTGAAGGCTTTTTCATGTCTCTATCTCCGTTAGTTCTGCTCTGATGTTAGTTTTTTCTTGTCTTCTGCTAGCTTTTGAATTTGTTTGCTCTTACTTCTCTACTTCTTTTTATTGTGATGTTAGGGTATCGATTTTAGATCTTTCCTGCTGTCTCCTGTGGGCATTTAGTGCTATAAATTTCAATCTAAACACTGCTTTAGCTGTGTCTCAGAGATTCTGGTACATTGTGTCTTTTTTCTCATTGGTTTGAAATAACTTATTTATTTCTGCCTTAATTTTGTTATTTACCCAGTAGTCATTCAGGAGCAGATGGTTCAGTTTCCATGTAGTTGTGCGATTTTGAGTGAGTTTCTTAATCCTGAGTTTTAATTTGATTGCTCTGTGTTCTGAGAGACTGTTTGTTATAATTTCCATTCTTTTACATTTGGTAAGGAGTGTTTTACTTCGAATTATGTGGTCAATTTTAGAATAGGTGCAATGTGGTGCTGAGAAGAATGGATATTTTGTTAGTTTGGGGTGGAGAGTTCTGTAGATGTCTATTAGGTCTGCTTGGTCCAGAGTTGAGTTCAAGTCCTGAATATCCTTATTAATTTTCTGTCTAATATTGACAGTGGGGTGTTAAAGTCTCCTACTACTATTGCATGGGAGTCTAAGTGTCTTTGTAAGTCACTAAGAACTTGCTTTGTGAATCTGGGTGCTCCTGTATTGGGTGCATATATATTTAGGATAGTTAGCTCCTCTTGTTGCATTGATCCCTTTGCCATTATGTAATGCCCTTCTTTGTCCTTTTTGATCTTTGTTGGTTTAAAGTCTGTCTTATCAGAGACTAGGATTGCAACCCCTGCTTTTTTTTTTTCTTTCCATTTGCTTGGCATATATTTCTTCATCCCTTTATTTTGAGCCTATGTGTGTCTTTGCCCATGAGACATGTCTCCTGAATACAGCATACCAATGGGTCTTTACTCTTTATCCAATTTGCCAGTATATGTCTTTTATTTGGGGCATTTAGCCCATTTGCATTTAAGGTTAATATTGTTATGTGTGAGTTTGTTCCTCTCATTATGATACTAGCTGGTTATTTTTCCTGTTACTTGAGGCAGTTTCTTCATAGTGTCAATGGTCTTTACAATTTGGCATGTTTTTGCAGTGGCTGGTACTGGTTTTTCCTTTCCATATTTAGTGCTCCCTTCAGGAGCTTTTGTAAGGAAGGCCGGGTGGTGACAAAATTTCTCAGCATTTGCTTGTCTGTAAAGCATTTCATTTCTCCTTTGCTTATGAAGCTTAAGTTGGCTGGATATGAAATTCTGGGTTGAAAATTATTTAAGAATGTTGAATATTGGCCCCACTCTCTTCTGGTTTCTAGGGTTTCTGCAGAGAGATGTGCTGTTAGTCTAATGGGCTTCCCTTTGTGGGTAACCCAACCTTTCTCTCTGGCTGCCCTTAACATTTTTTCCTTCATTTCAATCTTGGTGAATCTGACAATTATGTGTCTTGGTGTTGCTCTTCTAGAGGAGTATCTTTGTGGTGTTCTCTGTATTTCCTGAATTTGAATGTCAGCCTGTCTTGCTAGGTTGGGGAAGTTCTCCTGAATAATGTCATGAAGAGTGTTTTCCAACTTGGTTCTCTTCTCCCGCCGCTTTCAGGTACACCAATCAAATGTAGGTTTGGTCTTTTCATATAGTCCCATATTTCTTGGAGGCTTTGTGCAATCCTTTTCTTTTTTCTCTAATCTTTTCTTCACACTTTGTTCCATTAAGTTGATCTTCAATCTCTGATATCCTTTCTTCTGCTTGATAGATTGGGCTATCGATACTTGTGTATGCTTTACTAAGTTCTTGTGCTGTGTTTTTCAGCTCCATCAGGTCATTTATGTTCTTCTCTAAACTGGTTATTCCAGTTAGAAATTCCTCTAACCCTTTTTCTAAGCTTTTTTCAAGGTTCTTAGCTTCCTTGCATTGGGTTAGAAAATGCTCCTTTGGCTCAGAGGAATTTGTTGTTACCCACCTCCTGAAGTTTACTTCTGTCAATTTGTCAAACTCATTTTCCATCCGCTTTTGTTCTCTTGCTGGCCAGAAGCTGTGATCCTTTGGAGGAGAAGAGGCGTTCTGGTTTTTGGAATTTTCAGCCTATTTGCACTGGTTTTTCCTCATCTTTGTGGAATTACCTACCTTTGGTCTTGGATGTTGGTGACCTTCAGATGGGGTTTCTGTGTGGACATCCTTTTTGTTGATGTTGATGCTATTCCTTTCTGTTTGTTTGTTTTCCTTCTAACAGTCAGGCCCCTCTGCTGCAGGTCTGCTGGAGTTTGCTGGAGTTCTACTCGAGACCTCATTTTTGTGGGTATCACCAGTGGAGGATACAGAATAGCAAAGATTGCTGCCTGTTCCTTCCTCTGGAAGCTTCGTCCCAGAGGGCACTCACCAGATTACAGTCACAGCTCTCCTGTATGAGGCATCTGTTGACCCCTGCTGGGAGGTGTCTCCCAGTCAGGAGGCAGGGAGGTTAGGGACCCATTTGAGGTGGCCATCTGTCCCTTAGCAGAGCTCAAGCTCTGTGCTGGGTGATCTGCTGCTCTCTTCAGAGCTGACAGCCAGGAACGCTTGAGTCTGCTGAAGCTGCGCCCACTGCCGCCCCTTCCCCCAGGTGCCCTGTCCCAGGGAAATGGGAGTTTTATCTATAAGCCTCTGACTGGGGCTGCTGCCTTTCTTTCAGAGATGCCTTGCCAAGAGAGGAGGAATCTAGAGAGGTAGTCTGGCTACAGCAGCTTTGCCAAGCTGCAGTGGGCTTTGCCCAGTTTGAATTTCTTCCTGGTGGCTTCGTTTACACTGTGAGGGGAAAACTGCCTACTCAAGCCTCAGTAATGGCGGACGCCCCTCCCCACACCAAGCTCAAGCATCCCAGGTTGACTTGCTGTGCCTGGTAGCGAGAACTGCTGTGCTGACAGCAAGAATTGCAAGCCAGTGGATCTTAGTTTGCTGGGCTCTGTAGGGGTGGGTTCCACTGAGCAAGACCACTTGGCTCCCTGGCTTCCACCCCATTTCCAGGGGAGTGAATGGCTCTGTCTCACTGGTGTTCCACGTGTCACTGGGGTATGAAAAAACAAAAAAAAACTGCAGCTAGTTCAGTATCTGCACAAACAGCCGCCTGTTTTGTGCTTGAAAGCCAGGGCCCTGGTGGCATAGGCACCCGAGGGAATCTCCTGGTCTGTGGGTTGAGAAGACCATGGGAAAAGCATAGAATCTGGGCCAGAATGCACTGTTCCTCATGGCACAGTCCCTCATGGCTTCCCTTGGCTAGGGGAGGGAGTTCCCCGACCCCCTGTGCGTCCTGGGTGAGGTGTCACAACACCCTGCTTCGGTTTCCCCTTTGTGGGCTGCACCCACTGTCTAAGCAGTCCCGGTGAGAGGAGCTGGCTATCTCAGTTGGAAATGCAATAATTAAACACCTTCTGTGCTGATCTCTCTGGGAGCTGCAAACCAGAGCTGTTCCAATTCGAACATCTTGCAGCCACACCAAGCCAACTATCCTCTCTCTTTAGCTCTAATAATATTTGCTTTAGGTATCTGGGTACTCCAGTGTTGGGTGCATATATATTTAAATTGTTATATCCTCTTGCTGAATTGACCCCATTAACATTATGTAGTGACCTTCTTTGTGTCTTATAGTTTTTGTGTTGAAATCTATTTTTTCTGACATAGGTATAGTGACTCCTGTTCTTTTTTTGGTTTCCATTGGCACATAGTATATCTTTTCTTATGTCTTTATTTTCAGTACATATTTGTCTTTATAGGTGAAGTGTGTTTCTTGTAGGCAACAGATCAGTGGGCCTTGTTTATTCATCCACTCATTCAGTCTGTGTCTTTTGACTGGAGAGTTTAGTCTATTTACATACAATGTTATTACTACTTACATCTGCTATTTTGTTATTTGTTTTCTGATTGTTTCATGGTATTCTCCTTCTTTCTTTCCTTCCTGTTATCTTTCATTGAACATAATTTTCTCTGGTGATATAATTTAGTTTCTTGCTTTTTTTGTGTGTGTATCCATTGTACGATTTTTGGTTTGAAGTTACCATGGTGCTTGCAAATACTATCTTATAACCCATTATTTTAACCTCACAACAACTGAACACTGTTTGTGTAAATAAACAAACCAAAAAAAAGGAAACTAATAAAAGCTCTCTGCTTTAATTTCTTGCTTCTAAATTTATTTTTGTTTCTATTTATATCTTATTGTACTGTGTTTTGAAAAGTTGTTGTTGTAGTTATTTTTTATTGGTTTATCATTTAGTAGAAATGATATAAGTTTAGTGACTCAATCTTTTTTGTTTGCATTGGCACATATAATATATTTTTATTTTTTTTTATTTTCAGTACATGTGTGTCTTTATAGGTGAGGTATGTTTCTTGTAGGCAACAGATCACTTTATATGGAAAATGCAATTTTCCCCCAAACTAATATAATTACTTTCTGTTCATGGTTTACAAAATGACCAATATTTCCCTTCTATCCCTTTGTACAATATGTGTATCTAGCAAAAAAGTTCTTAGCTCTGGCTATGGGCACACAGAAACTTCTGATAGATGATTGCATTCACATGTTTATTTACCTTCCCCAGAATAAATTGTGGGACTGGAGTACCTGTATTAATCACAGGACAGATAATCAGGAAGCTCTGATCCTCTTGAGCTTCACATTTATGAGCAAAAAACGAACAGAGTGGTTTTCTAATAAAATTTTTGGTGAATCTAAAGATATGGCTCCCATCACTAACATTGTAAAAGGAAATAAACCTCATACCTATATCCAGGAAAATTTCCACTCTGTTGAACTGGGGCTCACTCAGAGAGCAGTCAAAAGTGTAGTACTGGCAGCAAAAGCCTTCCTTTCTCGAACTCACAGCCCAGAAGCTGAGTTTTGAAGAAAGAATGGGTTCTACATCATTTAGTAGAAATGATAAACCCATCAAAAATAGTAACTACAACAACTTATTATTTTTTATTGGTTTACCATTTAATAGAAATTATGAACTAATTTCTACCCAGTTTTTTAATAGAAATGGTGAACTCATTTCTACTAACTGTGGTTAGTGTTATAATAGTATGTGTACTTACTATTACCAGTGAGTTTTCTAGCTTCAGGTGATTACTTATTGCTTACTAATGTTTTTTCATTCTGATTAAAATACTCCCTTTAGCATTTCTTATAGGACAGAACTAGTTTTGATGAAGTCCTTCAGTGTTTGTTTGTCAGCTAATGTCTTTATTTCTCCTTCATGTTTGAAGAATGTTTTTTTGTATATGCTGATCTAGGGTAAAAGCTTTTTTTTTTTTTTTCTTTTTGTCAGCTCTTTATGTCATGTCACTCTCTTCTGGCTTTTGAGTTTCCACTGAAAACTCTGCTGCTAGATGTATTGGTTCTCCATTCTATGTTATTTTTTTTTTCTTGCTGCTTTTCAGATCCTTTCCTCATACTTGACCTTTGGGAGTTTGACTACTAAATGCCTTGAGGTAATCTTTGAGTTAAATCTGTTTGGTGTTCTATAACCTTCTTGTACTTTTATATTGATACCTTTCTCTAGGTTTGGGAATTTCTGTATTTTTATTCCTTTGAATAAACTTTCTAACCCTATCCTACCTGCTCTTTAAGGCCAATAACTTGCCCTTTTGAGGCTATTTTCTAGGTCCTGTAGGTGTGCTTCACTTTTTAAAATTCATTTTCCATTTCCTCTGTGTAATTTCAAATAGCATGTCTGCAAGCTCATTAATTGTTTCTTCTGCTTGATTCATTGTGCTAAGGATTCCAATGCATTCTTCAGTATACCAATTGCATTTTTCAGCTACAGAATTTCTGCTTGATTCTTTTTAGTTATTTCAACCTCTGTCAAATTTATTGGATAAAATTCTGAATTCCTTCTCTGCGTTATTCTGAATTTCTTTGAGTTGTCTCAACATATCTATTTTGAATTCTCTGTCTGCAAAGTCACATATCTCTGCTTCTCCAGGATTGGTTGCTAGTGCCTTATTTAGTTTATTTGGTAAAGTCATGTTTTTCTGGTTGGTATTGATGCTGATAGATGTTCTTCAGTATCTGGGCATTGAAGAATTAGGTATTTATTGTAGTCTTCACTGTCTGTGATTATTTCTTTCTGTCCTTCTTGGGAAGGCTTTTCAGATATTTGAAAGGATTTGGGTATTGTGATCTAAGGTATATTGCTTTAGGAGGCATCTGAAGGCCAGTGACACTGTGGTTCTTGAAGACTTGTAGATGGTCTTGAACAAGATTAGGGAAAATTATCTGGCTTACCATGCAGAGACTCTTGTTGTCTTCCCTTACTTTCTCCCAAGCAAACAGTATCTCTCTCCCTCTGTTCTGAGCCGTCTAAAGCTGGGGTTGGAATGACACAAGCACCCCTGTGGTCACCACCACTATGACATGCTAGGTGAGACCTGAAGCCAGCACAGCCCTGGGTCTCACCAACGACCTGCTGTAACCACTCCCTGGCTTACTGCCTATGTTTGGTCAAGACCCTAGGACTCTACAATAAGCTGGTGGCAAAGCCATTCATGTCTATGTTCTTCCCTTCAGCATAGTGAGGTCCCCCAAGTACTGGGTGGGTTGAGAGATGCTGTCTTGGAGTCAGGGACTAGGATACAAAACCTTAGAGGTCTACGTGGTGTTCTATTGTACTGTGGCTAACTGGCACTGAAATCACAAAACACAGTCCTTCCCTCTCATCCTTCCCCTTTCCAAAGGCAGAAGAGTCTCATTCTGTAGCCACCACCACCCCAGGCCACACGGACTACTGCTAGGCTACTGCTGATGTTTCCTTAAGGCTCAAGGTCTTTTCAGTCAACTGGTGGTGAATGCTGCCTGCCCTAGATCTCACCCTTTAAGGGCTTTGGGCTCCCCTCTGGCCCAGGGCTGGTCCAGAAATGCCATCCAAGGGTCAAGTCCTGTAATTAGGGACCTCAAAGGCCCACTTGGTGCTCTATACCTCTATGGCCACGATCCGACCTTAGGTGCAAGGCAAAGTCCCCTTTACTTTTTTCTCTGCTTTTCTCAAGCAGAAGGAGTTTTGTCCCATAGCCATCACATTTGGTAATGAGCTGAGTCTCATCTGAAGCCAGCAAATCTCAGAGGTTGACCCAGAACCTTTTGTGTAGTACCTAGGTATCACTGCTAATTATTCAGGGCTCAAGGGATCTTCAGTTAGCAGGTGATAAATGTTGCCAGGACTGTTTCCTTTCCTTCAAGGCAGTGGGTTCTCTCCTGGCTCCCGGCATGTCTAGAAATGTCATCTGGGAGACAGGACTTAGAACAGGGTCCTTAGAACACAACTTTGACTGGTGCCCTATCCTGCCTTGACTGAGCTGGTATCCAAGATGCAAGACACAGTCCTCCCCACTCTTCTCTCTCCTATTCTCAAGTGGAAGAAAGGAGTCTCTTTCGTAAAGCCTGGGGTTAGGAGTAGGGTTTTGTCAGCACCTTTTTGGCTGCCCCAGCTGGTGTCTCAGCTTGTTGTATACCACTCCATTCCACTGTCTCTTGGCCTAGTTCAGCACTAGGGCTCACCTCAGAGTTGCAGTCTTTATGGCTTAGACTGCCTTTCATGTTTACTTGGAGACACAGCACTGTAGGTCTTGGTGGAAGGTTTGCAGCAACTCAAGTTCAGACGACTGCTGGGATCTGCAATTCCCCTCCGGCTAGAGCTGGTTTAAATGCTCCCTCCATGGGCAGGTGTCACCTAAGTTTGGTGTGGTTTTCCCATCTGCTCCAACAGAACAGCACTGAGTTCAATGCCTAACAATTTCTGTGCTCTCCCTCTCCCAGTGCCCAGGGATGCTCTCTGTGCTAGGCAGCTGCTACCAGTGGTTAAAAGAGGGCTGGCATCAGTGATTCAGGACTGTTTTTCCTATCTCTTTAGTGTCTCAGCAATATGAAGTTAAAATCGGGTACTATGAGTGCTCACCTAATTTTTCGTTCTTATGAAGGTGTATTTTTCTGCGTAGGTAGTTGAGTTGGTATCCTCGTGGATGAGGGGATGATCAGTGAAGCCTTCTATTCTGCCATGTTGCTCTGCCTCTGAATCTATTTTCATAGATTTTGCTCTCAAATTGTTTAGCTCAGTGATCACTACATTATTCTTTCTAAAGTCTGCCTTAGCCACATGTCTTTGCTTCTGAAACCTATAATTGTTTCACATTGCCTGTTAACATAAAGACTTCTCAGACAGTCATCTTCCTTCATTTGAGCTCCTACTTCTCAGTCCCAGTATTCAACATGAGCCTTACCCAACAGAAGCCTACTCCAGTGGTTTCCAAAATGTGACTAGCAGCTTAACACCATCTGGAAATTTTTTGGAAATGAAAATTCCAAGATCCGACTTCAGACCTACTGTGTCAGAAACTCTGGGAATGGTGCCTAGTAATCAGTGTTTAACAATTCCAGGTGATTTTGATGGGTGCTTAAGCACACTAAAGTTTGAGAATCATTGCTCTAACCCCTGAATGTACAACATATGCTCTGATTTAAGTAATTTCTTCAGCCTATTTCATTAACTCTCCCCATATTATCACCAAGTGCAATATTTCCTAAACTTTGTTGATTTTTCATACATTTTTCAAGTCCCCATTAACCTGTATTGTAATTTTCTTTAAATGTTTTCTAAATCTGCACATATTTTATGCTAATTTACATTAAATTTATTTAAAAATGAAGTATATCAATAACAATAAAATCAGTAGTTCTGGCAATAAATAAAAAGTAATTATAAAACTAAATATAACAACCAGGGATTATAGATATCAAAGTGGGATATAGAAGGGTGAGTGTAGTTATCAAGGTGTTAAACAAAGGACTTTTGTTTTGATAGAACTATTCTGTATCTTGACTATGGTGGTAAATATGCAAATCTACACATATGTTAACATTGTATAGAACTAAATACACATATGCACACACACACAAGTAAAACCAGGAAAATCTCAATAAAATAGGTGGGTTATATCAATATCAGTATTCTGATTTTGATATTCTGGTATATTTTTGCAAGATATTACCACTGGAGAAAACTGGGAAAAAAGGTACACAGGATCTCTGTATTATTAATATTGAAATATTACACTATTTCAGAAACAATACAGATATGTCAGCAGCACCAATGTTAAGTGAAAACATATGGACCAGATAATTATTGGGCTGTCAATCTACAGAAATTGTAAAGGTTCAAACGAGGGATGATCTCTGGGTAGACAAAAGGAGGTTATGTAGGTGAATCCAACACATGCATATATATAGGTACACAACTCATCAGAATTTTTGTGGTGGGAGAGAAAAATCAAATCTGATTAAGGTAGAAGGTATAATTGGTAATGAACAGTACTTTTGCTAATTATCTTTACTGTCCTCCCCTGAAGTATAGTGAACAGAGACCAAGTGAGCCAATATCTTGTGTCATATGGCTATAGAACAATAAAAAGTGAAAATAAAGTAACATGTATTCCGTTTTGTTCATTCCCTTGACGATTTAAAATCTGATAGGAACACATTCATTGATTCCTGGCCTTTGGAAGGTTTATGGATATGTAGAGTGTGGAGTGTTAGGCAACTATGCAAAGCAAAGGACCTCTGTGTGTTTCCTGCATTTGGCTGCCTGTGAGAATTTTCTAAGGGAGCCCCCACAAACGCTGCCAGGAAAGAAAGCAGCATAGATTTTTGTAATTAAAAGAGCCCCTTGTTTTAGGAAGCATGTCAATGAAGCCCTTGGTTTAAATTCTATTTAAACAACTACCTTGTAATTTGGAATGCTTATCAGGAACTATGTGTCATTAAGAAGCACAATGTGACTTTGTAAAGGATCCATTTTAGAAATTACATTCCATTCTCTACTTGTCTTTTCCGGGAGAAGACCCGAATGTTTAGGAGGGAAGTTACTTTACTTCTTGAATTCTGCTCCTGTGTTTATTATTAGGTGTGAGTAAAAGTTTCATTCTTTTTTTTTTTAAATACATTAAAACATTCCTAGATCTACCAATTAAAATAGCAATTCTAACTTTTCAAACCAATATTTACTAATTGTTAGAAAGACAATTGGTTTAACAGAATTAGGAACTTAGAGAAATGCTGTATTAATTTATTATATTTTTCAAGTTTAAATAAAACTTGATAAATGTGACAGATGACTATTATTTGCATACACACACGGACACATATAATCAGATCTATATCTATGCTTTTGTCCTGATCTTCTAAATTAGCTTCACTTGTCTGTGTTTCTCTTCCTTAGTCAAGATTAACAAATAGTATTAACCTTTCATGCAACCCCTTTCTAAAATAACACAGAAAACTGGGCAAAACCATATTTTTCCAACCACAGTCATTTCTGTCACATTTTTGACCCAGATAACAAATTCTATTTCTGACTCTTTACCTAATCCCTATTTCAGTATAATCATGTATTGAAAACCAGAATTTAGTATGTATATTCAGTAGTATTGAATATATATATATATGTGTGTGTGTATACAAATATAAAATTATATATATACATATTTTTAAGACTTTTGTGAGACAACAGAAATAAAATAATAGGCAACATAGAAAAACTATTGTATTTGCCATTAAAATAGCCTCCAGACTTAGAAACAGGTCAAACGTCCCCATTTATAACAATAGTTAGTAATAGGGAGAAATAGTAATAGGGAGATGAAAGAGACAGATCATCAAGTCTTCCTTCACCTTTGGCTATATTCCTAGTGCAATGTCTTGATGCTACATAGGAACTAGCTCCTCTGCTCAACTTTTTAAATTCTGATATGACAGAAATACAACAATTGTTAAAATATCCCAAGAACATTAGTTTTATAAACATGGATTCTACTATTCTCTAAAAAAGTTATTTAACTAAATCATAAACCCTAAGAAATTATTTTGAAGGCCTGTTATTAAATATATGTGTGTGTGTGTGTGTATATATATAGAGAGAGAGAGAAATGCCTCTTGCTGATTCTATTGCAAATAGTCATATTTTATTTCCTCATTCAGAATAACTTCTTTAGAAATTTTCAAAGATGTCTTTGGTACTTCCGGTACAACAAATATATCAGCTGCAGATAAAATACACAGAGCAAGAGGAAAAAACAAGGCATTTATTATACAGTTTGAGTAATTTGATAAAATTAATAACTACTTTACTATCCTCTGAGCTGTATGAAAAGCCTAAGGGCAAACACATACAGTAGCAATGAGTGTGTGTCTTGATTAACTCAACAACACTTGCTATAATATAATTATGTGGTTTTTTTTCTGTAGTTACTTCCACTCTAGATGGATTATTCCATCTACAGTGGATGCTTTTCATTTCTAACTGAAGTGAGTTGTAGGTATAGTACATGTATTTATGCAATTAGTTAATATGGGTCACACTGGATTAGTGTGGGTCCTGATCCAGTGTCTCATGTCCTGATAACAAGAGAAACACAGAGGCATTCAGAGGGAAGATGATCATGTACAAATTGTACATGTACAAAGTGGGGAGATGCCATGTGAGGATCGAGGCAGAGATAGGAGTATCTATATTATGTTAGAGTCTACAAGCCAAGAAGCATCAAAGATTGGGAGGATACACCAGAAGCTGCAAGATAAGCATGGAATGGAGACTCCCTCAGAGCATCCAGAACTGCACTTGTTAAAAACATGATTTCAGACTTCTAGCCTCCAAAACTGTGAAAGAATAAATGTCTTATTGTTTAAGCTACTCAGTATATGGTATTTTGTTATGGTAGCCCAAGAAAATTAATAAAGGTAGTAAAAGAGACTTTGTAAATGAAATTAAGAGTCTTGACATGGTGATATTATTCTGGATTATCTGGGTGGGATCAATGTAATCACAATGGTCTTTGTAATTAAAAAAGAATCACATGGAAAGAAGGAAGCAGGAGAGTCACAGAGGGAGATGTGATGATGAAAACGGAGGTTTGGAGTGACATGAGCAATAGTCCCTTAAAGCCTCCAGATAGAATGCAGCTTTACTGACGCCATGATTTTAGCTTAGTTGGATCCACTTTGAACTTTGTAAGATCATATACTTGTACTGGTTTAAGTCACTAATTTGTGGCTATTTGTTACAACAGCAAAATAAAGCAAATATAGATTTCTAGACTCATTCTTAGCCCTATCCTCTTTACCTATCCATGAATGTAACCCATTCAATTTTTATTGCCCAAGAATTATTGAATAACATAATTGGTATTTTGTCAATGCTACTATGTTGGATATGAAATGATAATTTCAAATCTGAACTTCACTCAGAGGGAAGCAGAGAAGCTAGAAATACATTAAGACCTCACTTAACGTTGTCAGTAGGTTCTTGAGAAACTGTAACTTTAAGGGAAACAACATATAAAGAAACCATAACTGATATAAGCTTAACCCTAGTTTAAACTAGACTCTAGTTTAAGACCAACATACTTCTAATATTGGTGATATTTAGAATCACCAATACTTCTAGATGAAGACCAAAGTACTTCTAATATTAAACTTTGAAATAAATGTAAGCCATACATACAAGTAAGACAAATTAATAAAAACAAGTAACATAATTATTTACCTGCTTATTCCAGTTCAAGGTTGCAGATGGTGGAGGGCTATCCCCGCAGCTCAGGGTGCTGGGTGGGAACCCATCCTTGACAGGATGCCACACTGCAGGGCACACTCCCACATCAGCCAAATGATTTTGCTTGCAGAGCAGAGGATCAAATGTATAAGCAGTGGTAATGTGTCCTTCCCTATTCCTTTGTGAAGCTACTTATTTTCTTAACCATTCATCCAATAACAAACTAACTTATTAATTACAGTATCTACTGTATGTCAGACATGGTGGGATGTACTGGGAAAACAAAGACAATTAGTGCACATTTCTTCCTCTAGTCAAGGGTTCACAGTGTAGTTGTGGCAGAAGGTGGTAGTTTGCAGAGAGACTTTAAACCACACGTATGAAAGTACGTGGTGAGTAACATGATGGAGACAGTCCCATGAGTACTGAGCAGGACAGGGTAAGTTCATTTAACCTAAATGCAGTGGAAAGTGGTGAAGACATCTTGCAGGAATATTCAGCAGTTGAGCTATATTCTAAAATATAGATAGATGTTAGCCAAATGTCAAGTCAAAGAAAGAGCAATACATCAAAAGCTAAATTAGAAGAAGCCTGGCACAGTAGGAGAACTGCAAGCAGTTTAGTATAACTGAAATTTGGGATCCATGAGGAGCAAGGTAAAAGAAGAACCTAGATTTGTAAGCAGAAAGCAGAATATGAAGGCTCTTGCATGTTATAGTATGGCTTTCTGAAGCAAATGAGAGACTGTTGTATGATTTAAAGCAGAGAAAAGACATATAGATTTATGTCCTAGAAAAATTTGTTTAGCTGATTTTAACTTACATTGTCTGGGTCAATGTAGCCCCAGTTTATCTCAGTACCCTCAGCTCATGAAGCTTTCCTTATTATCCTAATCTCCATCTAGCATTGTTTATTGCAAAGCTCCTGAATTGCATCAAGCTCCTTATTGCTTTAAGACGTGTATCCATATGTTTTTCTCTTCTTACAAGACTCTAATCTCATTTCTTCTCTTACACCTTTGCCTGAGTAGCTCCTACTAATCACTTGTCTTAGTCTCAAAGCCCCAGATTGTCCATGTTCGTGTGTTCATTCAGCTGAAGTATTGGTGTGAGCCAGACACTTTGCTGAACTTTAGCTTGTAGGAAATTAAAGGAATAAAGACAAGTTGATATGTATTTACAACTCAGGATAAGTGCTCTGAAGAAAAAGAACAGGTTAGATACAGCCACTGTGAAGAAGTGATATCTGAACTGATACTGGGGATGAAAGGAAGCCATCCATGTGAAGATGGTGAATGCAAGTCCAGGTTGTCTCTTCCTAAAGTTTGTCAAATCAAAAATTGCACTGGATAGAGGTAAACAATGAAGGAAGACTTTTTTCAAGGCTATTGAAATAGGGTAGAGAAACCAGAGCACAGTCTCAACTCAATTTTCACATAAACAAAGGGCAGAGAAATTTTTAAGATGTGGATGAGGGAGGGAGATCTTAGGCCATCTGTGTTTGATAATCGGCTTTACCCAAATGAAAAGTACACTTTCTCATATCTTCAGGGCAGGAGGTAGTTTTACAACTACAGCAAGGTCCCCAGAGAACTTAAGCTCCTACCATTTCACCGAAACTGGGAGATAGAGGCCCTATCTTCCTTGATTATATTTCAAAAAATTGGCTCCCAGGTACTTGAGAAAGACATTCCTGGGTTGTGAAACTGGCAGAAGGCTTTTAAAAAGATTTAAATCTCAAAGGATCAGACTAATTTATAATTAGAAGTTTTCTTTAAGTAAGTGCTCTAAGGAAAGGGAGGTCATGGACCTCTCTAATTAGGCTATCTGGATTCTGTGGAGGCTGAAGTGAGAGGGAGGTCAGGGCTTCATAGGCAAGAAGAAGCCTATCTGAAGTTTGGTTAAGTTGAAGGAAACATTAGGTTGTCGTGGTCAGCTCTTACTATGAACTTAAGTAATGTGGTAGTGGTAGCGTACGTGTGTGTGTATATTTCCCAGCAGCCTAAAACTTCTCTGAGGACAGAGACTGTGTAGGATTTATTCATCATCTTAGCTCCAGTACAAGGCCTAATATGCAATATGCACTTAACTTAGATTTATTTGTTTTTGTTATGTTGTTGAATTAAGACATAAAGGTATTGGGTAGGGGATGGCTTTGGCGGAAGCAAGACAGGATTAAAAAGGCTAATTTAAAAAAATGTTGCATTATTCTTATAAGAGAATGAAGGATGATAGTAGAGTGAATATGTAGTGAAGATAATTAATTTAAGAGATATTTAGGTATGGAACCTAATCACCGATTTGCAGTTTGTGAAGGAGACATTGGAGTAACTGGCCCTCAGATTTCTGCCTGAGGAAGCTGGCTGGATGTCAGTGACAACATGATATGAGAAAAATGGAAGAGAAAAGCTGGTTGGCCCTGCTATGGAGATAAAAACTAGATTAATGAAAATAAACAATCTTCACAGTTGATGAGAATCATCAAGGTTTCTGGTTTTATGTGTCAAGAACTGAAGAGTTGTCTGGAATAATCTCATTATTATTTTCCTTTTGCTTGCATTTAACTCATGAAATTGTTAATCTTTTACTTTTAAACTGCCTGAGTCATTTCCAGCAAAGTGCTTAAGTCATACAGAGCATATGGTTGAGCTTTTTCTTTTAATCAATTCTATAGAGTTTTTTTCATTTTCGTAGATGAACTCATACTGTTTGCATTTATGAAATAATAAATGCAACATGTTTTGCACTAATATAGTTCTCTTATTTTGTGTTTTCTCTTTTTAAAGTTTTTTTTTTTGCCATTTTCTTTGTTTCATTTTCCTATATCTTATGTAGGATTGCTTTTTTCCACCTTTCTGAATGCCTCAGTAGTTTCAAAAATATAATTCTAGTTTTGCTAATTGTGTTGTACACCATTTAGAATAAAATGCTTAAGTTTTTGTTTGCAACTTACCAAATGTGAAACAAAGAAGGCAGGATGACAGTGGGATAAAGCATTTAAACTCTTTGCCTTTGTGTCTGGGCACAATGTAACCTATCTACTTCTTAGCTACTCAACTTAAGGCAGATCATTAAGCTCTCTGTGACTCAACTCCCTTATCTGTAAAATGGGGAATGGGGATAATAACAGTATCTAATGCCTCATTAGTGTTTGCTACAATTCCCCCAAACTGCCCCTGGGTTTTATATGTGGTTATAACAGCATTATAGCACAAGATGACTTTTACTACTTTCTCACATTTTTAAATTGTTTCGTACATCTAATTTATGCAATAATACTTTATCTTCTTGTGTTAATTGAATTGAATATTCACTAACCAACAAATATTAAACATATTACCTTTACTTTTACAATAACACTGTTAGATACCACTATCCCTAATTTACAGATAAGAATACCGAGATTCAGTGTTTGAGTTAGTTGTGGATAATTATACAACTAATATGTGAAAGATTCAATAATAAAACAAAGATCTACCTGGTACTAAACTTTTGCTCATTCCCTACTTTCATCTTTGTATTTACTTAGAAAATTACTGGTAGCTAGTCAATCTCGAAAGGCTTGAATCTTGCCCGCATATGCATATTTTAAACTTACTGAAAGTAAAATTTTGTCACAAACTCTTCTGGTTATGCACCTCTTTGCCTTAGTACAGTGTTAAATCTGGAGGAAAACGATCAATAAATTCCCCCCAAATAAAGTGGCAGAATATTTATTTGTGACAATAATTTATTATAAAGGTTAATGACGTTTTTTACTATCTGGAAGGAGAAAGGTCCTGACGAATAACATCCAAAAGAAATGCTGTGCAGACATTTTTATTTCCTACACGTTTTAAACTTGAATTTAAGTTTTCCTCAAACAGTTTTTAGAAAGGTCCAATTTGGCATCCAGCACAAGGTTATCTGAGAAATAATTAAGTGAGGTGGTAAACTTGCCAAAATATCAGTGTTCCCAAGAATTTTATTCCTGACTTAGCAAATAGTCTTTTATTTGTGACTATTCACTTTTTTTCTCTATCTTATATCTAAATATTGTTTCCAAGGGAGAGCCAGTATGACTACAAGTAAGTAATATGCAGATTAGTGACTTCTCTTTCCTACTCATCAAATCTCCTACTAAAATGAGATTCAAGGATTATTTTTATTTTTAAAATAAACTAAACCCTGGTTATTTGCAGCAACCAAGACAATAACACAAATCTCATTGTATGTAATATGAAATCTTAAAATCTCATCTTATTAATTGGAAACTGAAATCACTTGAAGAAGAGATTTAAGGATTAATTTTTAAATCAGTTTTTAATCTTCTTTTTCATTTTTTATCAGTGCAATAAAAATTGATAATAAAAATACAGTCCTCAACCTTTCATCACTTTTCTTTTTTTCATTATATTTAATTCTAAAGATTCAAAGGTTCTATATGCCAGAAAAACAAATCAGAATACAAAAATGTATGGCCACTTTCAAAACATATCAAGTTCAAAGACAGTTTTATTTACGCAAACAATTGTGCAATGGTGCTTTTTGATAGATATTGCATTGTTTATGGAATAAAATATCTTAGTTTGAAACTGGATTTGGCCTAGTTTGTGCATTTGTAAAATGTATGAGTTAAACTACACATTTGATAATGACACTTCAAACTGTTAAATTGCTATTATATTAGAAAAATAGCCTGCAGAAAATGCATCTATATTTATTCCAATGTATCCAATTTATCTCTGTCTGGCTAATGCTGTTAGAAAATGTGTAACTGAAGTATGTGGAAATCAATTAACATAAATTCAAGCACTTCTTGAACTTGATATGTCTAAGTAAACTTAGAACCTGGTAATGTGAAAATACCACATTGACAGTATTGACAAAACCAACTACTCGCAGTTCTGAAATGAATGCAGTTGTTTGCAACAGGACGGCTGTAAAAAGAGAGAAACCTGTTACCCAAACCATTTCAAGCATCTCCTACTATGATTATCTGCCTGTCCATGAGAACCAGGCCATTGACAAAAAATCTAATTAAGGTGTTGCTTTTCCAATTAAAGTTATTGCTTTAAATGGCCTCATGGTACCATCAGTTCCTTGAAAGAGAAATAAGCAGAACATGGAGGCCAGTAAGTAAAGAAACATGCCCTTCAGGCTCAAAAAATATTTCTGGAGGTGATCTTTGACTGTTGGTGCCTGCACATGGACCTGAGGAAGAAAAAAGATCTTTCAAAGAGTACTTGAAGAAATCACAAGCCTGGCCTGTAAAAGACTATGACAACTTAAACTTAAAGCTCCCCCTTGGACTCCAATTTGCTCCAATATGAGTCAGTCTGAGAAAAATGTGCAGGCCTATGCAGGGCACATAGTGAAATGTCAACTTCTGCTATATCCACTGAGGATAAAAAGTAGGGGAAAATCCCTCAGAAGTCAAAACATCGGGGATTTGGGGGGAAAAAAAAGGTAGAGATTTCCATTCCTCTTGAAGAGCTGAACCAGAAGCTACCAGATCATTTTACCAAAGACCTCATTCGGTTCTCAGAACAGGAGTTTTCTTAGTCACCATATGATAGGATTTTATCTTTCCTTTTTGATCAGTTCTTTCTGTATTTGTCATTTTCCTCTTTCCGAATGTGAATTATTATTCTGCTAATCTTATTCCTACTGTATATGATTATACCTTAATATGGTGAGAGACAAATTGCTCTCATTTTATAATTTTCCAGTTAATGAGAGCCACATCTACACCTGAGGGCTAGGACTGTGCGTCACCTTGAAGTTCAAGGTAGGTGTAGTCTCTGAGCAGGCTTGGCTGGTCCTCTCTTTGGTAAGGTTCAGTTTAGAGAGGATGAGTGTGTTCTGTTTTTGCATAAAAGCTTGAACTTGGGTATTTGAATATTCAAGGGTAGACTGTAGCAGAGACAGCAGGTTGTAGCCCCAATGTTTTCTCCTATTTTTGTTTATAGTAAGAGAACCTTGAATATTAGCTGGTTGCCAAGAATGAATGCTATTTTCCAGTATCATTTGCAGCCAGATGTAACCAATAGACTAAGCTCTTATGAATAGAATAGGAGGGAAAATGTGCTTATGATATGTAGGTAAAAGGAGGTAGACTGACTCCCTTCCTTTTCCATTCTAATGCAATGCTCTAGTATTGAGAGCTCTACAAGTCAGGAATATACACCTACAGATGGCCTCATGGACAAGAGTTTACCTACAAACTCTGAACTGGTAAGATAATTTTCAATATCATTAACTCAATTTCACTTTTTTAACTTCATTTTTTTTGTACACACTTAAAATGTATAATATAATCTTCTGACATACACATTAATAGTCAAATGATTAATACAGTCAAATTAGCAATATTCATCACCTTTCATAGTAATCATTTTTGATAAGAATACCTAACTTCTACTCATTTAGCAAATTTTTATATACAACACAATATTATTAACCATAGGCCTTATGCTATACATTATATCTCTAGACTTATTTGTCCTACCTAAATGCATATTCAGACTGTCCACATATAAGTGAGATAACACAGTATGTGTCTTTGTGTTTCTGGCTTATTTCACTTAGTCTAATGTCCTCTAGGCTCATCCATGTTGTTGCAAATGGCAGTATAGTTCTCTTCTTCTTTTAAGGCTGAAAAATATTCCATTGTATATATGCACCACAGTTTCTTTATCCACTTATTTGTCAGGGAACACATATTGTTCCTATATCTTGACTAGTAAGAATAATAACCTGATTTCACAGTTGATCTCTACTTACAAGAAAGTGTATATCCCATTAATAAGCTAAGTAAAGGAAGGATGAGTGGAAAGTATGAAAGAAATGTTGCAAGAAGAGAAAATAGGAATTGTGCAGTCTGGGAATTAAAATAATTTATGGCCCATTTGAGTGTGTTTGGAGTAAGTTGTCATGACAACATAAAAAATTAAAACAAATCTAGTCTGGCTAAGTTAGAGAGTCAAAGATAGGTTGCCTTTTCAGGAGGGGCATTGTAATTGCTTTTAGTTGAAGAAATAGCGGGGTGTTAGAATTTACTCCCAGTGCCAAAGAAATAAGAAAAGAAGTGAGATGTTTGTAGGTAAGAGGACAATCTACAATGGATTACAAAAAGTTGCAATCCCTGGGGACCACAGAAAGTTTTTCTTTTCTTTTTTTTCCTTTTTTTAAAATTATTTTTATTTATTATTATTATTATTATTATTATTATACTTTAAGTTCTAGGGTACATGTGCACAACGTCCAGGTTTGTTACATATGTATACATGTGCCATGTTAGTGTGCTGTACCCATTAACTTGTCATTTACATTAGGTGTATCTCCCAATGCTATCCCTCCCTCCTTCTCCCACCCCATGACAGGCCCGGTTTGTGATGTTCCCCACCCTATGTCCAAGTGTTCTCATTGTTCAATTCCCACCTGTGAGTGAGAACATGTGGTGTTTGGTTGAATCAGCAAAGAATGAAACATTATTTTTGCCTTTAGAATCTCACAGAGGCATACATTTAAACAAATACATACAATGTAATGTCTTAAGTGCTGATGTGGTTCTCAGAAACCCACTCAGGTTGTTCATAAGAAACAGACAGAATTTCTCAAGAATGAGTATGTGTTTGTATGTGCATGGGTTCACTGAGACTGGGAAATTGGAAAAGTCGAGTGAACCCAGAAGGATAAAGTAGGCAAAGAACTGTGAAAGTCCAAAAGCTAAGCGTGAAGTTTCACACCTCTAAATAGCTGAGTACCATATGTGTTAAAGGAGTAGAAAATATGCGAACAAACATTTTAGATGACCATGGATGTACCTGGTCTCAGTAAACACGCTTCTTGAAGTGGTACTTTATATATAGTTTCTTCAACTATCCAACTATTTACATATTCTCTGAGTTGTTGTAATTTGGCATCTACTCCTATTATTCTACTAAAACCATTCTCTTGTAGGTCAGCCATAACTTGCGCAACCCTATTATCAATAAACATTTCAAAATATTTTGTCATATTGTGAAATATTCTTTTCTTTCGTCTTTTGTGATTTTGCATCTTTCAAGACCTTTTTTATTTCTCTGACATATTCTTGTTCTGTCTTGTTGAATATTCTCCTTTATCTTTCCTCACCTCCACAATGACTCCTGAACACTGTAAGTGTTCAATATTTTTTTTTACTTCTATTTTTACTTATGTGAGGCTGGGTAGCTAGTGTCTTTCAAGTAGTTTGTCTGTTTCATCTAAGTTGCCAAATAATTGGCATGAAGTTGTATGTAATCCTTTATTATTATACTGATAATATATTTAGGATATATTATAACTCCTCTGTCATTTGTCACATTGATCCTATTTATTTTCTCTCCTTCTTTTCCTGGATAGAAATTTGGCTAGAACTTCCCTCAACTAATGAGGGAAGGGATTGGTGTATAAATATCCTTCCTTCTCCATTCTCAAGGACAATTTTGAAGTGTTTCTGTGTAGTATTCAGTTTCCTCACACACTTGAATCCAGTTGCTCAATCCTCTTAATTAACATTAAATTGGCCTTTCTTCTCTGTTCTTACTTTCTCTACTACTTCATTGGTGCTTATATCATGATTGGCTTCTGTGAAACCCAAACTAAGACAGAACTTCAAAACCAGTATCAAGTGAATGGCACTCAGGTTTAAATATTATTAAGTAAAAATGAAAAAAAAAATCCCCAAATATCAAAATTAGCAAAACAATGCTACACAATCTTTACTATGTTTTATACAGAAGGGTCCAAGAATGACATAGTCATTTCCCCTAATAATTAACCTTTGGTCCTATTGAAATATGACATATTAGGCAGAAATAATAATCGGATTATTTTAGTCTCACAAACTAGGATTCTGTTATGTACTAACATGTGAAAAGTTAGTGATTTTTGCTTTAAAAAATACTTCATACCACCATGGTGATTGTCTCTTAGTTATATATTTTCTATGGAAATTTGTGGTATATAGAATTTAATTATTATATAATTTACATTTTTCTAAATATTGGCTTCTTTATTTTACTTCTGAGGACACTGGCTCATGGAAGTTTTGTACCTTATTCACATTTATTTGTATTCTATCCATAAATGACATACAACATTAAGAATACAGCTGAGTTGAGACTCATAAGTTCTAATTTCCAAGTCAAATTCTCCCTATATCATTGCACAGTATTTCTCTTCTACTGGTGAGAGTAATTTAAGATTTTGTCTCATTCAAAGAATAAGTCCACATATAGTCTACTCTGAGACCATGAGAATTGATACTTTGGTTACATGTTTCGAACATAGTGGTGGAAGCTTAAGAATGTGTATTTGAGGCCAGGCACGGTGGCTCAAGCCTGTAATCCCAGCACTTTGGGAGGTTCAGGTGGGTGGATAACGAGGTCAGGAGATCGAGACCATCCTGGCTAACACAGTGAAATCCTATCTCTACAAAAAATACAAAAAAACTTCAGCCGGGCGTGTTGGCGGGGGCCTCTTGTCCCAGCTACTTGGGAGGCTGAGGCAGGAGAATGGCCTGAACCCGGGAGGCGGAGCTTGCAGTGAGCCGAGATGGCGCCACTGCACTCCAGCCTGGGTGACACAGCGAGACTCTGTCTCAAAGAAAAAAAAAAAAAAAAAAAAAAAGAATGTGTATTTGAATTCCAACAAATAACCTACATTAGTAAAACATGGTCACTTGGTTCATCTAAGTCTGCTTCTTCAGTTTTATTTTTCCTTTCAATCAAGAAAAGGTAAATTTCAGAATTCAAAACACATCATGATTAATTAAATGGGTAAGAATAGGGCAAAGTGAATAAAATAATTGAGTAGCAAGGTGAGAAGAATTTATTTGTAGAAAACATTACCAAGAAACTATGTTGTGTTTGTTTGGGGAAACAGATATAAAGCTAATTGGAAAATAACCAACTAGAAATCTTCATTTTTCTTTTGACTGTAATGCATAACACTGGTTCCCTCGGGCTATGGGCTTCTACAGATTTCCACATTTTTATTAAGATGTTAGGAGAAAAAGACTTAATTAAGCTGAATATTTACAGATGACTATAGTTTACTATTTAAAAATACTTATCAAAATTTATTTAAATATTTGCTTATAACTTATAGGAATTTATCTTCTGTTTAATTCTGGATTTGTTTTATACTCTATTTTTGAGGGAGACAATGTGGACTTTATTTTAGGGAGGACAATGTTGATTTTAAATTTAGGTCCAAAATGTTTTTGACAACTTGTATGAATTATTTATATGTTTGAAGTGAGATGGGCCAATTTTCCAATGATAGTCTCAAGAGGAAACAGAACATAGTTCTAGAACACAGTGAGCTGTTCCAGGTTACCAGTGGCCTGATCTATTTACAGCAGAAACTCTTAGCTTTTCTTTCCTCAGAATGCATTCAAAACCAAAGCAGCTTGAAAGAACAAATTCATCTCCATAAACCGTGGTTTATAAGTAGGCTAAAATCACCCAGTCGGATGTTGTATTCTTTAAGCAGAGAAGCCAAGAATATGACCACGTAAATTTGCTACTCTTGAAGATTACAACAACACACCAAAAGGAAAGGACAGAGTTGGGGTCTGCTCCTTTACTCACCGTTCCGATGAATGTACCTTGGGATCCTGGCTGAGATTCCCAATATGAAGCGGGGTAGTTGTCTGGGGTAAATACCCCGGGTTTGTAGTCTCTCGCTAAGAAAATTAAGGACATAGACACCCAAGAGGACTGAGTTTAGGCGTGGAGGTTTAATAGGAAGAAGAAAGAGAAAGGAGAACAGCTCTCTCCCTGTGTGAGAGAGAGGGGCTCCCAAAAGGAAAAATCCAGCCTGCAGCAGACAGCACCAGATTTTATAGGCAGGCTTAAGGAGACAGTGTGTGGTTAACATAGGGCCCACAAATTGGTTCGACCAAGTGTGACATTTACATAGCGTGAAGGGATGGGTGGTCGCCCCACCCTAATCTTATTATGCAAATTGGGTCTTTGCCCGGCCTGCACCGTATTGTCTTCTCCTTACTGTACACATGGTTTGGCAAAGAGAAGAGAAGACGGAGCTGCGATTTTGAACATGCCTAATCGCAGGTAGCCTTTTCCTATTGGCACAACTGCCGGCATTCATGTGTGAAAGCTTCCAGCTTGCTAGTCTATGTCTGCAGCTTGATTTCATAGGCTGCTGTTTGTTAGAAAATAAAATGATTTTGGGGTTGTTTTTCACTAAAAGGAAAACCTTACCGAGGACTCCCCTACCCTCACTATCAGCCTAAATGATTTCTCCTTAACTCATAAAAAATTGTGGACCACAGTTTATTTATTCACTCATTGCAAATTTATTCATTTCTTTATTCAAAGTAGTATTCATTTATTTATTCATTTAGTCATTCATTTCATTATTCATTTCTTGATTCACAGTAGTATTCATGATGGAATATTACTCCATGATAAAAAAAAGAATGAATTAATGGTATTTGCAGCAACCTGGATGGAACTGGAGGCTATTATTCTAAATGAAGTAACTCAGGAATGGAAAACCAAATATTGCGTGCTCTAACTTGTAAGTGGGAGCTAAGCTATGAGGAGGCAGAGGTGTAAGAATGATACAGTGGATTCTCAGAACTCAGGGGGAAACTGTGGGAAAAGTGTGAGGGATAAAAAACTACAGATTCGGTTCAGTGTATACTGACTGCTTGGGTGGTGAGCGCACCAAAATCTCACAAATCACCACTAAAGAACTTACTCATGTAACCAAATACCACCTGTTCCCCCAAAACCTATGGAAATAATTTTTTTTAATTGAGCGTCTAATACATGCTCCTTTTGTTATTTTCTATATCTATAAAGATAGAAAGTAAGAAAAGACATGGGTAAGGAGATAACTTATGGAAATAAATAATTGCAATGAAATGTGAATTTCCTCACAAAAGAATAGAAAAGTAGAAATAATTTCTCTAGATCGAAATGTGTTTACGGAATATTTTAACCATATTCAATTTATAGGCCTGTTTGTTTCTTATTCAAATAATAAATCATAAAAAGACAAGATAAATTATAGTATCAATTTGGCATCTGATAATTCCAAGGAATTGTTATTAATATTTCTAGGTAGAATAATGCTATTATGACTATGTAAAAAATTCCATATAATTTTCAGATTTATAGTATGTGCTTTAAAATCAGAGAGAACAAATTTTATGGATGAAGGAAAAATGGTAATATATTGATAATTATGAAATCGGCTAGAGGTGTTAGTGGATATGTGAGAGTTTATGAAACCATGCTATTTTTGTGTATATTAACATTTTAATAAAATTTCTCAAAGTAGAATGCATGAAATAACTTAGTATGCTCATAGTCACTTTAGTAATAATGGAAGAATGGGATAATGAGTGAATTGAAATAATTGATATGATTTTGTTAGTAACTTTCTAGGTTGTCTGAAATCTTTTTTGACCTGGAAAAGAGTGCCTTTACTTTTGCTCAGTGTTTATTATCAGCTGAGAGCTGAATTCATGCTCATCGGTGGTATGACAATATATTAAGTTCTCTGGAGAGTTAACCAAGAAAAAAAACTGATTTGACAGGGATGTCTAAAGGTAGGCAACTTTGCAGAATGAAAGATAGCAGAATCAACAAGTGAATGCTCCAAGTAGAGATGGTTTTCAGTGTGAACGGTGCTTTTTGAAAAGCTCAAGTATGAAGATGACGGTGTAATATTTTTACGGCCCTGTTTGTCATCTAATTCCTAGAAGACCTTGCTCATGTTTGGGCCTGTGTGTGTGGATATTTTTAACCACGTGGAAGCATCATTCCCTGAAGAAGGTATAACCTAGATTGTTTTAAATTGTTTCCTACAGTGTTTATATTGGCTTAAGAGGTAGGAAATATTCTGTGAAATGACCTGAAGGTTTTTGGCCCTAGATTTAGAAGAGGTGGTGGGAGTCAGATGGTAAAGAAAAAGTTATCAATGCTGAATTGATGAGTGTGTTTCCCAAACAGTTGGAAAGGTAGCGTAGGAACTCTTATTTCTTCTTCTATGCATATCGTTTATAATAAAGTGACTGAAATGTGAACAAAGAGGTTTCCTAAAGTAAATTATGTCTATGTTCATCAATAATATATATCCTTAAGCTATAACTTTTGTGAGAAAATAGTTTAGAATTGGTTTTGGCCTTGTCCCCTGAAGCTATGTATCTAAACTATTTCTCAATAAAGGACTCGTGAAATCAGAAACACCCTAATAGTTTGGATTTTGAGCAGTAAATTCTTCATTTTCAAAGGCGACATGGCTTCTTAGAGGTAGAGTAGTGACAAGGCAGGAAAACTGGAGTGTAATTGGCTGTAACTGGCACCCATATGAGCTGTTAAATTTTTCTTTACAGCCAAATGCGGTACTTAAAATTAT